>NC_000010.11:86961277-87112792 GCF_000001405.40 Homo sapiens | reverse complement strand
ACCCTATAAGGGTTCCCATTTCTCCACATCCTCACCAACAGTTGTTGGGGTTTTGTTTTTTGGGTTTTTTTTTTTTTTGAGATTTAAGTTATTATAGTCATTCTAGTGGGTGTGAATTGGTATCTCTATTATTATTATTATTATCATTTATTATTTTAGAGACAGGGTCTTGCTCTGCCGCCCAGGCTGGAGTGCAGTGGCACCATCACTGCTCACTGCAGCCTCGACGGCACAGGCTCAAGCAGATCCTCCCACCTCAGCTTCTCGACTAGCTGGAACTACAGGCACAAACCACCACGCCTATCTCCCTATGTTGCCCAGGCTGGTCTCTAACTTCTGGGCTCAAGTGATCTTCCTGACTTAGTCTCTCAAAGTGCTGGGATTATAGGCAATGAGCCACTACACCTGGCCTCACTGTGATTTTTATTTGCATTTCCCTAATGAATAATGATTTCAACACCTTTTCATGTGTTTATTTCATGTGTTTATTTGGCCATTTGCACATTTTCTTTGGAGACATATCTCTTCAAATTCTTTGCCCTTTTTTTTTTTTTTGAGACGGAGTCTCGCTCTGTCGCCCAGGCTGGAGTGCAGTGGTGCAATCTCCATTCACTGCAACTGCAGCCTCCTGGGTTCAAACCATTCTCCTGCCTCAGCCTCCCGAGTAGCTGGGACTACAGGCACCCGCCACTACACCCAGCTAATTTTTTTCTATTTTTAGTAGAGACGGGGTTTCACCATGTTAGCCAGGATGGTCTCGATCTCCTGACCTCGTGATCCGCCCACCTTGGCCTCCCAAAGTGCTGGGATTACAGGCGTGAGCTACCGCACCTGGCCTGCCCATTGTTTCAATTGGATTATTTGCTTTTTTCTTATGGAGCTGTGATAGTTCTTTACATATTCTAAATACTAGACCCTTAACAGATACACAATTTGCAAATATTTAATCCCGTTCTGTAGGTTGTCTTTTCACTTTCTTAATGATGTCCTTTGAAACATAGAAGTTTTTAATTTTGGCCAGGTGCAGTGGCTCACACCTGTAATCCCAGCACTTTGGGAGGCCAAAGCAGGCAGGTTGCTTGAGCCCAGGAATTCAAGACCAGTCTAGGCAACATGGTGAAACCCCACTTCTTTTTTTTTTTTTTTTTTTTTGAGACAGACTCTTGCCCTGTCAACCAGGCTGGGGTGCAGTGGCATGGTCTCAGCTCACTGCAACCTCCACCTCCCGGACTCAAGAGATTCTCGTGCCTCAGCCTCTCAAGTAGTTGAGATTACAGGCGCGTGCCACCATGCCCAGCTAATTTTTGTATTTGTAGTAGAGAGGGGGTTTCACCATGTTGGCCAGACTGGTCTCGAACTCCTGACCTCAAGTGATCCGTCTACTTCGGCCTCCCAAAGTGTTGGGATTACAGGAGTGAGCACTGTGCCTGGCCCCCATTTCTATAATACAAAAAATACAAAACTTACTGGGATGTGGTGGCACATGCCTACAGTCCCAGCTACTCAGAAGGCTGAGGTGGGAGGACCGCTTGAGTCTAGAGAGGTTGAAACTGCAGTGAGCCATGATGGCGCCACTGTACTCCAGCCTGGGCAACATGATGAGACCCTGTCTCAAAAAAATAAAAACTTTAAAAAAATTTTTAATTTTAAGGGCCAGGCGCAGTGGCTGATGCCTGTAATCCCAGCACGTTGGGAGGCCACAGTGGGCAGATCACGAGGTCAGGAGTTCGAGACCAGCCTGGCCAATATGGTGAAACCCCATCTCTTCTAATAATACAAAAATTAGCCAGGCGTGGTGGTGCGCGCCTGTAGTCCCAGCTACTTGGGAGACTGAGGCAGGAGAATCGCTTGAACCCGGGAGGCAGAGGTTGCAGTGAACCAAGATGGCACCACTGACTCCAGCCTGGGCAACAGAGCAAAACTCCATCTCACCAAAAAAAAAAAATTAATTTTAATAAAGTCCAATTTATCTATTTGTTCTTTTGCACTTTTGGAGTCATATTTAAGAAACCTGCCTGATCCAAGTTCATGAATATTTAAACCTACATTTCCTTCTAAGCGTTTTATAGTTTCAGTTCTTATATTTAGGTCTTTGATCCATTAAAATGATAATTCTTGAAAGCTAAGAATTTCAATCATAAGACCTACAGGCTTAAGAGAAAAGAGAGCTTTTTTTTTTTTTTTTTGAGATGGAGTCTCACATCATCACCCAGGCTGGAGTGCAATGGTGCAATCTCAGCTCACTGCAACCTCTGCCTCCCGGGTTCAAGTGATTCTCCTGCCTCAGCCTCCTGAGTAGCTGGTATTACAGACACCCGCCACCACTTCCGGCTAATTTTTTGTATTTTGAGTAGAGATGGGGTTTCCCTGTTGGCTAGGCTGATCTCGAACTCTTGACCTTGTGATCCGCCCGCCTCGGCCTCCCAAAGTGCTGGGATTACAGGCATGAGCCATTGTGCCTGGCCAAAAGAGAACTTTTTATTTATTTATTTACTTATTTTGAGAGACAGGGTCTCTCTCTTGTTGCCCAGGCTGGAGTGCAGTGGTAGAATCATAGCTCACTGCAGCCTCAACCTCCTGGGCTCATGCGATCCTCCCACCTCAGTCTCCTGAGTAGCTGGGACTACAGGTGTGTGCCAACATGCTCAGCTAATTTTTGTATTTTTTGTAGAGACAGGGTCTCACTATGTTGCCTAGGCTGGTCTCAAACTTCTGGGCTCAAGTGATCTTAACTGTGTCAGCCTCCCAAAGTGCTGGGATTACAGGCATGAGGCTCTGCACCCAGCCAAGATTTAATATTGATACAGAATCTATGAAATCACTTATTCCTTTGTAAAATGTAGTAACATACATTTTGAACTCAAATGTGTGTGTGAGTGTTTATATGTGTGTATATAAAATTAATCCTCAGAACCATACCACTGCACCCGGCCAAGACAGCTTTTTAAATTCTAAAACTGTGATTTTAACTATCACCAACCAAATCAAGAAAACTTTCATGGCAGAATTTGTCATGTAGACTCCAGCACAGAGGAAAGGCAGGTGATGACATAAGTACAGTTCTCTCACACTGATCAAGATGACATAAAAACTTGGGGGAAGAGTTCAAAGAAAAACAAGAGTTAAAAGAAAGAGTGGATGTAAATTTAGAATTTTTGCCTCCTGTCCTATCTGGAGCTAAATCTTATTTGAGGGGCCAGGTGAGGTGGCTCACGCCTGTAATCCCAGCACTCTGGGAGGCCGGGGAGGGTGGATGACCTGAGGCCAGGAGTTCGAGACCAGCCTGGCCAACATGGCGAAACACTGTCTCTACCAAAAACACAAAAAATTAGCTGGGTGTGGTAGAAGCGCCTATAATCCCAGCTACTCGGGAGGCTGAGGCAGGAGAATCGCTTGAATCTAGGAGGCAGAGGCTGCAGTGAGCCGAGATCGAGCCATTGCACTCCAGCCTGAGCAACAAGAATGAAACTGTCTCAAAAAAAAAAAAAAAATCTTATTTGCGGAAGGGTAAGAAAAATCTCCAGTGTTTGTGGGGAAGGACCCAGAATGGGAAATAATTGTGTTTCCCTTTCCCAAGTTATGGTCCAGGGACTGTAGCCATTTAGTAAAACCTTGCACCTAATACAATATCATGCCTTGCTAAAGGCATAATAGCCAATGACATGCCCAAACCATATTCCTGAAAAGCTGCTTTATTAGGGTCCCAAGCATATCAGCACTCACCACTGGGCCAGTATACCCAAAACAGCCTGGGATTAAGGAGGACCCAGCATGCACAGATGTGTTGCCCAGGGGCTACAGTAGTAGCAGGGACATCATCCTCAGAAGTGGCAGAGGCAGACAATCCCATTCAAGACCAAGCCAGTCATTTGCAATGGCTCAGAAGGACAGAGGACAGCACAAAGATAAGATGACTCTCCCTTAATGCCAGGAAAAATTATAAGATTTCTCTACCAATACCATCTACCATAGGGAAAAAAAGGGAAGGGGTGGGCTCTGTGAGGAAACTGAACATTTACCAAAAGGACCAAGTATTTACCAAGGGTTTAGATTAACATGTAATTAATTTAGTTAAGCCAGAAGCTACTGACTTTTTATCCTAAAGTGGCAAGATTGTTTAGCAGGATTGTTCTCTATTACCTAGTAGAAACAGAGCTAAGGAAATTTTAGTTATTTAGAAATGAAGTTGGCCAAGCACAATGGCTCACACCTGTAATCCCAGTACTTTAAAAGGCCGGGGTGGGAGAGTCACTTCAGCCCAGGAGTTGGAGATCAGCCTGGGCAACATAGCAAGACCTCATCTCTAGGCTGGGCATGGTGGCTCAAGCCTGTAATCCCAGCACTTTGGTAGGCCAAGGGGCGGTGGATCACTTGAGGTTAGGGGTTCAAGACCAGCCTGGCCAACACAGCAAAATCCCGTCTCCACTAAAAAATACAAAAATTAGGCTGAACGCAGTGGCTCACGCCTGTAATCCTAGCACTTTGGGAGGCCAAGGAGGGCGGATCACCTGAGGTCCGGAGTTCGAGACCAGCCTGACCAACATGGAGAAACCTCGCCTCTACTAAAAACACAAAATTGGCCTGGTGTGGTGACGCATGCCTGTAATCCCAGCTACTTGGGAGGCTGAGGGAGGAGAATCACTTGAACCTGGGAGGTGAAGGTTGCAGTGAGCCAAGATCACGCCATTGCACTCCTGGATAACAAGAGCGAAACTCCGTCTCAAAAAAGCAAAAAACAAAAATTAGCCAGGTGTGATGATGTGTACCTGCAATTCCAGCTACTTGGGAGGCTGAGGCACGAGAACTGCTTGAAACCAGGAAGCAGAGGTTGCCATGAGCTGAGATTGCACCACTGCACTCCAGCCTGGTGACAGAGTGAGACTGCCTCAAAAAACAAAAAACAAACAAACAAAAAGTCATCTCTAAAAATAAAAAAAAAAGAAAGAAAGAAAGAAAATTACATCTTTGTATATTTAAGTATGTAGTCTACAAAATTTATGCCTACTATACTTCCAATTGGGTTTTCCACTGCACAAAAGGTAAAAATGTAAAGCACTTGCCTATATGATCTGACTGCTTATCCACCTGTCCAAAATCACAACATTCTCCACTAGGACAACCACAGTCACACTGGATTTCTGTCCATTCCTAAAACATGTCAAGGTCTTTTCTGTATCACAGTTTTTCCACACGCCATTTCCTTCACTTAGGATGCCTTTCCCACAGCTCTTTAATAGGTTGCTTCAACTCAGCCTTTAATTTCAGTTTAAATGTTTCTTCTTTTCAAGGCCTTCTCTGAACACCCTATATAAAGTAGGTATTCCCCATTATCCCATAGCACAGCACCATATTATTTTCTTTTTTCTTTTCTTTTTTTTGAGAAGGAGTTTCCCTCTTGTTGCCCAGGCTGGAGTGCAGTGGCAAGACCTCGGCTCACTGCAACCTCTGCCTCCCAGGTTCAAGCAATTCTCCTGCCTCAGCCTCCCCAGTAGCTGGGATTACAAGGGCGCACTACCACGCCCAGCTAAGTTTTTGTAGTTTTAGCAGAGATGGAGTTTCACCATGTTGGCCAGACTAGTCCTGAACTTCTGACCTCTGGTGATCCACCTGCCTCAGCCTCCCAAAGTGCTGGGAATACAGGCATGAGCCACTGCACCTGGCCTTTATCCTACATTTTAAATCTCTTTTTTTTTTTTTTGCCAATTATTGCTTTAGATTAATATCTATAGAAAAAAAATAGTCTCTCTGTGCTTCACTAGTTTTCGATGGCCCTCCAAGAATGCAATCACAAGGATTCCACATTTAATGGGGAAACTGTGGAGGACAGTAACTATGTAAAAGGCACTTTGAATATCCACCCCATGTATCTTCAAAATAGTCTCATCTCAAGCTATCCTTCTGATATATTACTATAACATAGAGAATCCAATGAAACTGTCATTTCTGCCTGTAGGACAACGAAACTTCTAATTTCAACATAAAGGCCAGTTTAGCCCTCTTATTTTAATCCACTTGCCTATGTGTTACATTGATGATAACAAGGTGCTAATGGCAACTTCATCTAAAAGTCTGTTGAAATCATTTAAGCATCTGATATTTCATTATAATCCTCAGATTATCCCCAGAAGTTGAGGATGGATTTCTGTTCTGTCTTCCTGTCTAGTAAGAGAGTAAACACGACAACATGAAAACTACTTCCTTAAAAGCTGTCAATAGTAAAAAGCTGTTCAAAAAACAGAAGGCATAATTTTAAAACTGTTATCATTGTATAAGATCTCAAGGAGAACTAGAATTTGAAGACTGTTTACTGTATACAATATGAAACTGCAAATATCATAATTCCTAGTTTCAAATTTAAGAATGTTCCCCCCCTTTTGTAAATTGCGTTAAAAAAATATATTATCACAGTAAGACAGCAGAGAGCAAGTCAGTTATTTTCTGTGGCAAATATGGCAGACACTGTGAGTTGTCTAACAATTATTCCTTCTGGCCGGGAACAGTGGCTCATGCCTATAATCCCAACACTTTGGGAGGCTGAGGCGGGTGGATCACCTGAGATCAGGAGTTCAAGACCAGCCTGGCCAACATGGTGAAACCCCGTCTCTACTAAAAATACAAAAAATTAGTCAGCCATGGTAGCAGGTGCCTGTAATCCCAGCTACTGGGGAGGCTGAGGCAGGAGAATCACTTGAACCCAGGAGGCGGAGGTTCCAGTGAGCCGAGATCCCACCACTGCACTCCAGCCTGGGCAACAAGAGCAAGACTCCGTCTCAAAACAAACAAACAAACAAAACCAATTATTCCTTTTCTACCTTTCTTCCTGGCTGGCACAGTCTGCCTGTACTTCAGAGGCCAAAAAGTGCCAGTAAGTCTTCCTTGTAGCCTCCCTTACAGCCAGGGCGTGGCATGTAACCAACCCAATCCTAGCTACTGGGGTCTAAGAGAGTTGAAGGTAGCTGGCAGGCCTTTGGAAAAGGTTTCTTCACTAATACCGGGATATGCACAGGAGGAAACTGCTGTTTCTCCATAGAACTTAGTTATGGCTACATGTGACCTCTGGAACTGCTGAAGCCCTTTTAAAACCCTTAGGAAAGATATCACAAACTGGCTGAATGTGTAACAGAGAGAAGAGCAGAGTAGGTATCTGATGGTATCATTGAGTCCTTGGACTGTCAATGGAAAAGCCCTGCCTTCAGACTTCTTGTTAGATAATGTTATCTTGGTTTATGGCTTTCCTTTAAGCCATTTTTATTTGGATATTGCTACTCGAGGGTCAAGGCATCCTAAGGAATCTCTATCTTCTTACTTCAGGTCCAATTTCCTGAGCTGACTCAACATTATCAGCGTCTCTACCTTGTGCCTAGTCCTTCATTGACATGTCTTTCATTAAGAAGCAAGCGCAACATAATTATACTCACATATATGCTTCACCTAAAGTCTGTTTCTTCTGCAACACCTCTAGAATGGTCAAGGAGAAGGTACTTTTTGCTTCTCTGGTGTATTTTTCAGTTATGTCTGTTTTTAACAGCATTATAGATGTGCCCCAATTTTTACCTTACACTTCCCTTCTTATTATCCTCTAACACCATACCGAAATTACAATTGATCTAAAACTTTCAAAACCAAAATGCTCAAGATAGGATAAAGATTTTCTTTTCTAGAGGGTGGTCCACATCATTAAACAGAGCTGAATGGCAAGGCATCTTGAATGATGAACAACTGAATGTGCCATACTTTATATATAAAGAAAACAAAAAACCTGACCTCTATTTTAAAATAAAGATTAAGAGAGGCATAATAAATAACATACAGGTGAGATCAGAATCCTACCTTAGTGGCTGGGTGTGGTGGCTCACACCTATAATCCCAACACTGGGAGGCGGAGGCAGGCGGATCACAAGGTCAGGAGTTCAAGAGCAGCCTGGCCAACATGGTGAAACCTCATCTCTACTGAAAGTACAAAAATTAGGCGGGCGTGGTGGCAGGCACCTGTAATCCCAGCTACTCGGGAGGCTGAAGCAGGAGAATCACTTGAACCCGGGAAGTGGAGGTTGCAGCGAGCCGAGATTGTGCCACTCCTCTCCAGCCTGGGCGACAGAGCAAGACTCCGTCTCAAGAAAAAAAAAAAGAATCCTACCTTAGTACAGTTAATTTGTTAATATATTTTTTAAATTTTTATTTTCATTTTCTTTTTACTTTTTATTTTTTTCCTAATTTAGCTCCCATTTATAAGCACAGTTAATTTTTTTTTTTTTTCTGAGACAGAATCTTGCTGTTGTCACCCAAGCTAGAGTGCAGTGGCGCCATCTCGGCTCACTCCCGGGTTCAAGCGATTCTCCTGCCTCAGCCTCCCAAGTAGCTTGGATTACAGGCACTCGCCATTATGCCTGGCTAATTTTTGTATTTTTGTAGAGATGGGGTTTCACCATGTTGGCCAGGCTGGTCTTGAACTCCTGACCTCAGGTGATCCACCCGCCTCGGCCTCCCAAAGTGCTGGGATTACAGGTGTGAGCCACTGAGCCCAGCCAGCACAATTTTTTTTTTTTTTTCTTTTTTGAGATGGAGTCTTGCTCTGTCATCCAGGCTGGAGTGCAGTGGCACAATCTCGGCTCACTACAACCTCCGCCTCCCGGGTTCAAGCGAGTCTCCTGTCTCAGCCTCCCAAGTAGCTGGGATTACAAGCACCTGCCCGCCATCATGCCCGGCTGATTTTTGTATTTTTGTAGAGACGGGGTTTCACCATGTTGGCCAGGCTGGTCTTGAACTCCTGACCTCAAGTGATCCACCCACCTCAGCCTCCCAAAGTGCTAGGATTACAAGCGTGAGCCACCATGCCCGGCCAGCACAGTGAATTTTTAAGAGACCTCACATGTTTCTTGCATGATAGCTTAAAAGGATAAGATCCTATATTGTTCATGTTTACTCACAACATGAAAGGAACCCTTAACCAAGAGTTGATAAACCTTTGTTGACTGTTACTCAGCAATACAACAAAATGAAGACTTACCCAAACCAGCCATGCAGATGTAACTGCCATTAATTAGGAAAAGGGTTTTTTAAGAGGAAAAAGACTACAAACCCTGAAGATTACAGGTCCTTTTCTTTGACACAGTTTCTGTTATTGTTTTTTGTTAAAGCATGCTCACTAAAAGGAAAAAACATCAAAATTACAACTTCTCTGAAAATCAGTTAGAAACACAAAAGCAAATATTAGAAAGTTTTCCTGAAAACTTTGGCACAAAAGTTTGCAAAACAACTCATGATATACCAAAATGACCAATACTTGAAAAACACATAACTAGGGGATATTCATTTTCAACCAAAGTGCTGTTTAAGCCAAATTGTTGTGATGATCAAATTGCCTTGAACCAAAGCGCATGCCACCCTATATTTTCAAACCATGGTCTCATTTATCTTTAAGCTTTGCCTATGCTGTTTCCATAGTATCCCCACTTCCATCTGGCTGATTAATGAAGTATTAACTAGCACTTGAGAACTAAATCATATTAAAATTAGAAACACCAGGACCTAATAAAAATTTCAAGATTTTTATTTATTTATTTATTAAAAAAAATTTTTTTTTTGAGACGGAATCTCACTCTGTTGCCAGGCTGGAGTGCAGTGGTGAGATCTCGGCTCACTACAACCTCTGCCTCCCGGGTTCAAGTGATTCTCCTGCCTTAGCCTCCTGAGCAGCTGGGACTACAGGCGTGCACCACCACACCTAGCTAATTTTTGTATTTTTAGCAGAGACGGGGTTTCACTATGTTGGCCAGAATGGTCTTGATCTCTTGACCTCGTGATCCGCCCACCTCAGCCTCCCAAAGTGCTGGGATTACAGGAGCGAGCCACCACGCCCAGCCAGATTTTTAGTACCTTGTTTTAAAAGTCCTTGTTTACTCAGAAAAAGTAATCTCTTTAAAAAATAAAAAAAGTCCTTGTTTAAATTTGTGGTGTCTCATGTCTATAATCCCAACACTTTGGGAGGCCAAGGCAGGAGAATCGCATGAGACCAGCCTAGGCAACATAGGGAAACCGTATCTCTTCAAAACAATTTTTAAAAATTTTTTTCTTTTTGTTTTTTGAAATGAAATCTTGCTCTGTCGCCCAGGCTGGAGTTCAGTGGCACGATCTCAGCTCACCGCAACATCCACCTCCTGAATTCAAGCAATTCTCCTGCCTCAGCCTCCTGAGTAGCTGGGATTACAGGCACGCACCACTGCACCTGGCTCATTTTTTGTGTTTTTAGTAGAGACAGGGTTTCACCATGTTGGCCAGGCTGGTCTTGAACTCCCAACCTCAGGTAATCTGCCTGTCTCAGCCTCCCAAAGTGCTAGGATTACAGGCGTGAGCCACTGTGCCCAGCCAACAATTTAAAAATTACCCAGGGTGATGGTTCACCCTTGTAGTCTCAGCTACTTGGGAGGTTGAGGTGGGAAGACCGCTTGGGTCCAGGAGTAAAAAAAAAGAAAACAAAACAAAATTAGCATGATTATTAAATTCTTTCTAAGCCCAAACTTGAAACTTATACATAAATAGGTAAAGTAGTCCCAAGACCAAAAGAGTTGAGAACTGTTCTTTGTAATAGGTTATCTATTACAGCATTGTTATAACCACAAGAGTTTGGAAATAACCTTCATGTCCATCAATAAGAGATTGGTAAAAGTAATTATGGTGCGTCCATGCAATAAAATACTATGCAACATTGAAAACTAATGAGGAGCATTAGGCAAGAAAATGAAATAAAACACATTCAGATTGGAAACAAAAAAAGAAAAACTATCTCTATTTGCAAATGACAGCATCTTGCATATAGAAAATCATACAGAATCCACTAAAGTAAATATCAGAATGAATAAATGAGTTCAGTAAGGTTGAAGCATACAAAAACCGTTCTGTCGCCCAGGCTGGAGTGCAGTGGAACTATCTCGGTTCACTGCAACCTCCACCTCCTGGGTTCAGGTAATTCTCGTACCTCAGCCTCCCCAGTAGCTGGGATTGCAAGCATGCACCACCACAACCAGCTAATTAATTTGTTGTGATTTTGGTAAAGACAAGGTTTCTCTGTGATGGCCAGGCTGATCTGAAACTCCTGGCCTCAAGTTATCCACCCACCTCAGCCTCCCCAAGTGCTAGGATTACAGGCGTGAGCCACCATGCCCAGCCTAAACTATTGTAATTCGATATATTCACAGTGAACAATCTAAAAATGAAGTTAAGAAAACCATTCTGAGCCAGGCGAGGTGGTGCACACCTGTAATCTCAGTTACTCAGGAGGCTGCAGCAGGAGGATGTCTTAAGCCCAGGAGTTCAAGGCCATACTGGGCCACACAGTAAGACCCTATCTCTTAATAAATAAATATTTCTACTTACAATTGCATCAAAAAGAATACTTAGTAATAAATTCAACAAAAAGTACAAAACTTGCTTTGTATTAGTTGATTACACATTTTATTTTGAAATAACAAATATCTTAAATTTTCAAAGGCCAATTCTCCTAAAACATTTAAGCCAAATATACACAAGGGTATAGACTCAAAGTATTACTGCTGCAGCCTTGATTCTCTTGAATTCTATACTTGATTCTAAATTATTCTGGGGCCAGAATATGCTTGCCATTAAGGAAATAATCTTGTTATGCCACAGAATTTCGGGAGTTACCATCTCATATAATTTTTGGGAATTGCTAACTTAGCTTACTTGGTTTTAAGAAGTGCAAAACTTATCCTCTGACAGTGATAAAACAGTCCTGAGAGAAGTTTTAAAAGACCTACATATACAGAAAGATATCCCATGTTAATGAATCAGAAGATGTAATATTGTTAAAATGACACTAATTCCCAAATTGATCTACAGATTCAACATAATCCCTATCAAAATTCCAGCTGACTTCTTTGCAGAAATTGGAAACATGATCCTAATTCATATGGAGATAGAATAACCAATCTTGGAAAAAAAAAATTTGGAAGACTCACATTTCCCAATTTCAAAATTTACTACAAAGCTAGAGTAATCGGCCTGGCACAGTGGCTCATGCCTGTAATCCCAGCACTTTGGGAGGCCGAGGCGGGCGGATCACCTGGGTCAAGGAGTTCGAGATCAGCCTGACTAACATGATAAAACCCCATCTCTACTGAAAATACAAAAATTAGCTGGGCGTAGTGGCACGCACCTGTAATCCCAGCTACTCAGGAGGCTGGAGCAGGAGAATTGCTTGAACCTGGAAGGCAGAGGTTGCAGTGAGCCAAGATCGCGCTATTGCACTCCAGCCTGGGCAACAGAGTGAGACTCCATTTCGAAAAAAAAAAAAAAACTGGCGTAATCAAGACAATGTATACTGATATAAGGATAGACATATGGATGAACTGAACTGGCGTCCAGATATAAACTTTCACATTTAGGTCAATTTATTTTTCATAGAGTGTGAAGACAATTCAATGGGAAAGAAATAGTCTTTTGAGCAAATGAACTGGATAGCCACGTGCAAAAGAATGAAACTGGATCCTTTTCTCGGAAAAAGTAACACAAAATGGATAAAAACCTAAATGTAAAAGCTAAACCTATGAAACTCTTAGAAGAAAACAAAGGAGTAAATCTTCATGAAGTCCAATTAGACAATGATTTCTTACATATGATACCAAAAGCATAAGTATCGAAAGAAAACATTTATAAATTGGACTTCATCAAAATTAAAAACTTTTGTGCTTCAAAGTCACTATGAAAAATGGGAAAATATAACCTAAAGAATGGATGAAAACATTTTCAAATCTGGTAAGGAACTTACATCTAGAACATATTAAAAAAAAACTCTTACAAATCAATAATAAAAGACAACCTGACTTAAAAATGGGCAAAGGATCTGAATAGACATTTCTCCAAATAAGACATAAAAATGGTCCATAAGCACATGAAAGATGCTAAATTTTATTAGTCATCAAGGAACTGCAAATAAATACTTCATACCCACTAGGATGATTATAATAAAAAACACACATAACAAGTGTTGGTGAAGAAGTAGAGAAATTGGAACCTTCATTCACTGCTGGTAAGAATTAAAATGGTGTAGCCACTGTGGAAAAGTTTGGCAGTACCTCAAAAATTTAAATATGGAAGTACCATTCCTAGGTATAAACGCACCCAAGAGAACTGAAAACATATGCACACACAAAAGTTCACCGCAGCATCATTCAGAATAGTCAAAAAGTGGAAATAATCCAAGTGTCCATCAATGATGAATAGATTTTTAAAATGTGGTACAGTCATACAACAAAAACTATGTAGCCATAACAAGAAATGAAGTACCTGATACATGCTACACGCATAAACCTTTAAAATACTCTGCCAAGTGAAAGAAGACGGTCACAAAGGGCCACATACATCTTTTATAGGAAAAGTCCAGAATAGACTGATTTAGTGAGACAGAAAGTAGAAAGTATATTTTTACCTTTCAAATTAAATTATTTTTAAAAATGAATGGTTCAAGAATTTATATGCTATGTTTTTCTAAATCCTAACAATCTTCTTCTAAAATATTTTTAAGAGAGAAAAAAGCATGCTATGGATCAAGAAAAACAGACCTGGAATTTTAAACCAGCTAAGGAAAACTCTAAGGCAGAAAACTCATTTGACTTTGTGGAATGCTATTGAATGTTCCCTTCAAGCTGAATTTTGGTCTTCGTTTGAATGGGAAATTACTACAAATAATTAAACTTTATTGTGTGAGGCATGGTGGCTCACACTTGGAATCCCAGCACTGTGGGAGGCAGAGGCGGGCATATCGCTTGAGCCCAGGAGTTCGAGACCAGCCTGGGCAACATAGTGAAACCCCACCTCTACCAAAAAGACAAAAGTTAGCCGGGAGTGGCGGCAGGTGCCTATAGTCCTAGCTACTCAGGAGGCTGAGGTGGGAGGATTGCCTGAGCCCAGGAAGTCCAGGCTGTGGTAAACTGTGATCGTGCCACCGCACTCCAGCCTGGGTGACACAGTGAGACCCTGTCTCGAAAAATAAAAATAAAAAAAAACCTTACTTTGCAAATTATCTGTATATTTTACAAAAGCAATCATAAATCTAAAGTTGAAATTCATTAGACTTTATATCACAGTAAATAATTTCTAACTAAATGGAACAAATACTTAAAATACTCCTTGGAATAGTATAAATAGTATAACTTTGGAGTCAGATACACAGGTTTGAATCTTACCCTATTTACAAGCTTGGTGATCATCAACAATTTGTTTGGTTTCTGTGGGCCTCACTCCCTGTTTTTTTTTTTTTTTTTGAGATGGAGTTTCATTCTTGTTACCCAGGCTGGAGTGCAATGGCGCAATCTCAGCTCACTGAAACCTCCGCCTCCCAGGTTCAAGCAATTCTCCTGCCTCAGCCTCCTGAGTAGCTGGGATTACAGGGATTCACCATCACACCAGGCTAATTTTGTATTTTTAGTACAGATGGGGTTTCTCCATGTTGGTCAGGCTGGTCTCGAACTCCCAACCTCAGGTGATCCGCCCGCCTCAGCCTCCCAAAGTGCTGGGATTACAGGTATGAGCCACCACGCCCAGCCACTCCCTGCTTCTAATAAATCAGGAATTATAATACCTACAGTGTGAAAAGAAATACTCCAAATATTCACTAAATGGGGGAAGAGATGGATAATTTCATTCTGTTTTTCTAAAATCTATTTCTGCTGTTCATATTTTTTTAACAACTTGTATGTAATTTTAAAACATAATGACCAGGTGCAGTGGCTCAACACCTGTAATCCCAGCACTTTCGGTGGCCAAGGCGGGCAGATCATTTGAGGCCAGGAGTTTGAGAACAGCCTGGCCAACACTGTGGAACTTCGTCTCTATTAAAAATACAAAAAAATTAGCCTGGCATGGTGGCGGGCGCCTGTAATCCCAGCTGCTCGGGAGGCTGAGGCAGGAGAATCACTGGAACCTGGGAGGCAGAGGCTGCAGTGAGCTGAGATTGCACCACTGCACTCCAGCATGGGCAACAGAGCAAGACTGTCTCAAAAAAACAAAACAAAACAAAACCATGATGATTTTAAAAATAAAAACATCTGTTTTATAGGGTACTCATGAAGCCAGTTTGTAAGGCACCTACACACAGGAGATTCTCAATTAAAAAAAAAATAGTAATTTCCACAGCTCTATTCCTCACCTCTTCCAAAGCTTCTTCAATTCTGCCTTTCCTTTTTTGAGATGAAGACTCGCTCTGTTGCCCAGGCTGGAGTGCAATGGCACGATCTCGGCTCACTGCAACCTCTCTCCCTGGTTCAAGTGGTTCTCCCAAGTAGCTGGAACTACAAGCACTGCCCAACCCCCTCCCCGCCACCACGCCTGGCTAATTTTTGTAGGCCCCCCACCACGCTTGGCTTATTTTTGTATTTTTAGTAGAGACAAGGTTTCACTGTGTTGCCCAGGCTGGTCTCGAACTCCTGACCTCAAGTGATCCGCCCACTTTAGCCTCCTAAAGTGCTGGGATTACAGGCGTGAGCCACCTCCTTAGGCCCAATTCCACCTTCTTGAATTCAGGTGAACAAGTCACAGAAGAAGCAAAGTTAAACATTTATTTTTCTGAAGGCTAAGGTTATAAAGAACAACAAAAACAATAAAACTAAGCTTTTAAAGATTTTTCCTCAGAACATAAACAAATAATTTAATCCAAAAAGAAAAATATTTCCATGTTTACTGATGCTAATCATTTTATTCTGAAACTCCGTGGGTTTTTTGCAGGAGTGGGGGATTGCAATGTAAGAGAGTAAAACGATAATACATCCAGAAAAAAGGAAATTTGATACCTTAATCTTTTGACCATCAAGGAAAATTCAGGATTCAGGTCAGAGTACATTTTTCACTGAAAAACACAGTGCAAATACAATTAATGACAATGACTTATTTAGCAAGTAAGGTAAAATATAAGTTCCACCTGTATGAAAAGATAATTTTGACTTTGAGAGTACACTTAGATGAATGTCATTTAACAGATCCAGGTTGTCACCTTATATTTTACACAATATTTCGAGAACTAAGAACTTTCTCTTCCATATTCTAAAAGATGAATAACATGAACATATCGGGAAGCACCATCGTTTTGCAGGTCCAATGGGTGTCATTTTAAAACCACCCAAGTACACTGAGACCGCTAACGCTAGTAATGTGGTGTTTGGCAGCTAGTTTTAATGACTGTCATTAGAGCTTTATTTTTTATTTTCTTTTTATAGAGACGAGCCCAGGCTGGTCTTGAACTCCTGGCCTCAAGCGATCAGCCTGCTTTGGCCCCCAAAGTGCTGGGATTACAGGCGTGAGCCACCGTGCCAGCCTCGTTAGTTTGAAAAGCACCAAAAGCTATCCATAGGAATGTGAACTTTAGCATTTCCTATCAAGTATGTATAAATACATAACTGAACCCTCATACAGCATAAAGCTTATAAATCATATACTGAGGCCAGGCGCGGTGGCTCACGTCTGTAATCCCAGCATTCTGGGAGGCCTAGGCGGGCGGATCACTTGAGGTCAGGCGTTGGAGACCAGCCTGGCCAGCACAGCGAAACCCCGTCTCTACTAAAAATGCAAAAATTAGCCGGGCGTGGTGGCGCGGGCCTGTAATCCCAGCTACCCCGAGGCTGAGGCAGGAGAATCGCTAGAACGAACCCAGGGAGGTGGAAGCTGCAGTGAGCCGAGATGGTGCCACTACACTCCCGCCTGGGCGACAGAGCAAGATTCCATCTCAAATAAATAAATAAAATAAAAAATAAATCATATACTGAACCATTTAACAAATACATATATTCCTGAGAAAGAATTTCCTGGGGGCATTATCGCATTTCTAGTTTCCTTATTTTAGACTATTTCAGAGGGAGATAGGGTCTCCCTCTGTTGCCCAGGCTGGGGTGCAGTGGAGCTATCGTAGCTCACTGCAGCCTCGAACTCCTGGGCTCAAGCCATCCTCCAGCCTCGACCTCCCAAAGTGCTAGGACTAAAGGCGTGAGCCACCGCGCCGGGCCGGAGCCTCTGTCTGCAAAGGTGAAGCAGTCAGTACTGTGGGGCGACACAACCACGACGTGCGTAACTATGCGATCTCCACACTGCGGAGCAGTTGAACGGGACAATAAAAGCTCGCGTGGTGAGAGCTTGTGGGCGAGTGACTCCCTTCCAGCTCACGCCAGCCACGCATAATCCAACTCCGGGTGCCACGCCGCTCTCTGCAGCCCTGGCTGGTGACGCCGAGCCCTCAGCCCGGCCTTACGCGGCGGCGGCTCTGCCTCGCTTTCCTGCCCACGTGTCAGCCCCTGCACGCCCGGCCCCGGCCTGAGGCCGCCAGAGGACAGGCCAGGGTGGGCCGCCCGTTCCGAGGGCGCGCGGGCGGAAAGGAGGGGCGCCCGTGACTCACATGACCCGGTCCCCGACCAGACCGCCAAGCCTCACCCACGCGGCGCTCGGGGGGACTCGGCCTCTGAGCGCCCTACAGAGGCCAGCCCCCGACCCCGACCTCCCTGGGCTACCCCCAACCCCCCTGAGGGACCCCCGCGGCGCACATACCTGAGAGCCCCGCCGGAGGCGGGTGCGGCCTCCGGGCAAATCCGGCCGCCCGTGGGCCCGCCCCGACCCGCCCCGACCCGCCCCGACCTTCCCCTCCCTGCCCCTCCCGTCCGTTCCCCTCCACTCTCCTCCCCGCCCTTCCTCTCCCCTCCCCTCCCTTCCCCACTGGCGCGCGAGCGTGCGCGCCGAGCCCGCCCGCGCCTGCGCGCCCCCGACGCCCCGCCGGCGCGCGCTGCCGCCAGCGAGGCCCGGGGAGGCCGCGGCGGAGGCGGAGGCCCGGCGCCCTGGGCGGCGCCCTGTCCCCGAAGTCCGTCCTCCCCGTTAGGTGGCGAGCGCCCGAGGGGAGGGGACAGCCGGGCAAGCAGGAAGCTGCGGCTTAAAAGGGCAACCCGCGCGGGACCCTTCCTCCCTAGTCGCGGGGAGTCTGAGAAAGCGCGCCTGTTTCGCGACCATCACGCACCTCCCCTCCGCTTGTGGCCATGTACCGCTACCTGGGCGAAGCGCTGTTGCTGTCCCGGGCCGGGCCCGCTGCCCTGGGCTCGGCGTCCGCCGACTCGGCCGCGTTGCTGGGCTGGGCCCGGGGACAGCCCGCCGCCGCCCCGCAGCCGGGGCTGGCATTGGCCGCCCGGCGCCACTACAGCGAGGCGGTGGCCGACCGCGAGGACGACCCCAACTTCTTCAAGATGGTGGAGGGCTTCTTCGATCGCGGCGCCAGCATCGTGGAGGACAAGCTGGTGGAGGACCTGAGGACCCGGGAGAGCGAGGAGCAGAAGCGGAACCGGGTGCGCGGCATCCTGCGGATCATCAAGCCCTGCAACCATGTGCTGAGTCTCTCCTTCCCCATCCGGCGCGACGACGGCTCCTGGGAGGTCATCGAAGGCTACCGGGCCCAGCACAGCCAGCACCGCACGCCCTGCAAGGGAGGTGAGCGTCGGCCGGGCCCCGTCCCGCCCTCCCTGCCTCCCCTGCGGCCCTCCCCTCCGGCCTCCTGCCGGTGCGGGGCCGCTGCTCAGCCCAGCCCAGCCCAGCTGGAGCGGGCCGGGTCCCCGCCCGGGTCACCCCGCCTCGGATGTGGCCGGCTCTGTGGATGGTGATTTTTCCGCCTTAAAATCATCATGCGATTGGCCTGCCCCCTCCCCCGCGCCGTCACCCCGGGCCTCTGTATATGCTGATCTTGCATGCAGAGTAGACGCTGCACCGGTCTCCTTTTGGTCCCGGTGTCTGTGTCACACACGGCGGGTCCTGCCGAAATGCACTTCTAGGAAAGGGAATGACCTGCCCGTGTGATAATGCCTCGTCAGTGTTCTTGGGCTTTTGTGAGTCTCCCCTAAATGCAAGCTGTCAAATTATTTTCTGGTATTTGTTCACTCCTGTTCCAATAGTGACAGATGATATCCGAACATAGAAAATGACTTGGCTTCTAAGTTTGAAATCTAGACAGTTTTATTAACCAAAGGAATTTACTAATCACGCGTTAATCGTTTCAATTAAGTAATTTTCCCATTCTGACAAGTTCTGTTTTATACCAAAAAAAAGGAAAAACACAAAAAAATCACAAGCAATGTAATATCTCTGACAAATAAACACCTGGCGTCCTGACAGTAAATTTACAGGTTGTAGGCTGCGGATGGCCAGCCAGCCAATGGAATGAAATAGCTCTGGGGGTGTGTACTGGTCCTGGCTAGCCCTGAATTTGAGCTTCAGGAAAAATATAGTACGTGAAGAAAGGGGTCAGATAATGTTTGGTAGTCACTGGGTTATCCTGTGGTTTAAATCATTTAATGTCTGTAGATTTGGCCTCTGTAGTCAGATTGCTTTCTTCGAGCAAATAAGAGCTTTTTTCCCCCCAATACATTGCATCATACCTCTTTAGTAACATAAAATGGAAAGGACAAACCACTTTTGTCTACTGTAAAAAAGAAAAATTATATGGAATAAAGAGCCCAGGGAGGCGAGGAGTCTTGTTGGAGGTGGATTGGCTGAGAAGCACAGAGGATGTTGGGCTAGACCCATGTCTCAGTAAACCTGGTTCTGTGGTCTTTCAGTTATGCCCGCTGACTTATGAGGATTTTTAGAAATCCTCTCTGTACCGGAAAAAACTTGAGCGGTGCTGGTGTTCCCAGCAGGGGGGACAAAGGTTGTTTTTAAAGATTTACTAAATTTGCATTGACCCCGCCCACTTCTAGGACTTAACTTTGGAGCTTAATTATCCCCTAGCTCTGGTTGCCTCAGCCAAAACCAATGTTTGAACCACTTTGACCTCTGATTTCCTTTCTAGCTTCAAAATTGTATAAAATGTACACACCGTCAGTCTCCTACATTTGCCTGCCTTCTTCCTACCACTCCCTTATTATCCAAACCAGGAAAACAAGTTCAGACTCCAAAGAAAGGCAAATAAGGATGTTGGAGGAAGTTCAGGCAATGTTTAGCAAATATTGAGTTGCATCGTTTTCTTAAAACGGACATCAAGTTTATTTTTTACTATCTTGCTGGCAGCATTTGCCAGTCCTTTAAAAGGTGTACAGATAAATCAGTGTATGTGGTTTTCTGCAGGATGATTTGGTCTCTGAAATCCTTTTTCTTCGATTCTTCAGATGCCCAGCTCTCTCCTGTTTTTATAAGTCGCAGCTCCGCAAACTCACTGAAGCAACTCGTTTACCATAGTTTGTGAGTCCTCTTTCTCTTGTTGCCACAGCAGTTTTAATGCCAAAATATTGAACCTAGCAACAAATTGGGTCAGCCATACCAAAGCACTGTTACTGTAGCACTTGCTTGTACTAGAGTGTAAGATACAATTTTCTGTTCCGTTTATCCCATTTACAAAAAAACATGCTATTAACCCCCAGCATATAAACAGGGAGAAACTGAATTGTTACTAGTAAACTGTTGCAAGCATTGATAGAACATCAAAGAAAATTGGCCTCTACAAAGTGACAAATTTATTATCTTCAGGAATTTGAAAGGCTTTCTGGATTGGGGAAGATTACATAGCTATGAAAGCCCTTAAATATTTTAGTTTGCTTAATAAACAGTATACTAAACAGATGATCAGCAAAATTTGGGTACTATAGCCTTCCATGCTTTGTGTTCAAGACATCCCCAGATCTATCTACCCATTTATCACCCTTGTTTGCAGAGAATGTGCATTGTAAGAGAGACAGGTCTTCTTTCTTAAAGCTTTTTTAACGTCTAAGAAATTGTTAACCTTTGTAGTCCCACTCTAGTCTTAGAAACACAGAATATATTAGGTGATTGAGATTTTTTTAAATGCTTTGGATAATCCCTATGAAATTCTGTCTTTCCCTCTTAAACATATTTTAACACGTTCTTCTTACCTCTCCCCACTAACCTGTCTTCTCTCCCATTGGTTCTTTGCCAAAAAAAAAAACCTCATCTGCCTCTCTCCACCCTTTTACCAACCTTCAGCTTTCTGTATCTCATTTTCCCTCAAGAACAACCTTATCCCTGAGTTTTCTAAATTAAAATTCTTGAGGTTGAAGCAAAGCAACAATCTAGCAATAATCTCTAAGGGAAACAGATGGTTATAAGACTTGGTGGCTGATGTGTACTTTTTCCAAGTAAATATTTAATAATACACACTGTTTTTGTGCTTTTCTTTTCCCAGTTACTACATGTACCTGAGGCCGTTAGATTTGTCTGTGTTAAGGATTTGAAAGGGTAAGCTAAAGGATCTGAAGGGAAGTTTAAGTGAGGCCTTAAAAATATTTCCAGCAAAGGGGCATAGTGTGAGAATATGCGACTGATTTGAGAAGACTGGTTCAAAAGTTCTGGTGGGTTTGGAAATATTATCAAAGATTGTTCTATTAACTTTCCCAGAGTAAATTATCTGTATTTCATTTGCTATGGTTCTGCCTGAGACCAGTCTACCTTTTTAGAAGGAAGTTTATTGTTTTAAAGTCAGTTTGGAGGGAAAGTACAGATTGATAATAGCAATTTATTGATGGTAGGAGTCAATTAACTTTCTCTTCCAGTCTGCCCCCCCCCAGTTGTCTTGATATTAAAACTATTAAAATTCCCTATCACTGATGCTACTATCATAAAATTTTCTAAAATTATCATAATTTACATATAGTTGATGGACCGTAGATGGAGTTCTCTCATACATTGACCCTAAGTCTTTTAATTACAAATATTAGTACCCAAAAAAGTGTACCCTATATTAATCCAGTAACTAGTTTTTAAAAGTCAAAATGCCAGAAGGAAACAGTGGAATCTTGATGACATAATGCAAGGGAAGACCGGAGTCAATGCAGTGTTAAAGACGCCCTCAGCCTCTGGGATGTCATTGTTTAGCGCTTAAGGGAAGACTATAGAAAGCACTGATACTGATTTAAAATGAGATATTTCTCTGCCTTCACTGGGGGAAAAAATGTTTCTGACTTATTTTGCTGTGCTCAATTGACAACCATCAAAACTTAGGTAACTTTTAATAAACTCACAGTTTCTAATATTTTTAAGTGGCTGTGTGTCTGCATCTGCTGCCACAGATAAAATATAACCTTTGTAGGTGAATTTAATTTAGGACTTTTCTGAAAGTTCAGTCAGAGGATAGGTAATTTGTGTGTCTTTTAAAAGCACTTAGCCCCGAGGTTGTTGTTTTTAATACATCTTATTTAAATACGGAAATGTGTTGCCCTTATGCCTTTTTATTTCATGGAAGCCAAATGCGTCTTTTCTCCCAAAGTATACTAGAAAATGAAGACGCTTGGTAATGGTAGTGATCTGTACATCAGATTTCAGTCTTTCTGTCACTTGCGTGTATGAATCCATTTAGCAAGTTTGCTTTTGGCAGTAAAGCCCCACGTGCAGGAAGACAAACAGCTGCTCACTCATTATCCAAAGTATACTTTGTAAGAATTAGGGCATCAAAAATTGGATCCTAAGCACCAATATATATTAAAGTTCAGTACAACTTGTAGTGTTTAAGTACAAGAAATAAAAATTGAGCCTGAACTTTTGGCATATAGTGGGAAGAAATTAGGTTTACCGCTGTTAATAATTCAGAGTGCTTAGGAAAATCGGTTTTTATTTACTTATGTTAAAAATACTAAGGGTTCTGTAACCATTAAAAACTAAAATACTAACCTGTAGATGTTGAAAAAATCCTAGACACTAGTCTCTGCCACGTGACTGTTCTTCTTTTCTATTTATTTTACCCAATAATTAGGCTTTTACAATGTAAGTAATAAAGAGAAAAATCTCTAGTATCACTTTAGAGCACATTGATTCATAAATAGCCCATAAATTTTGTACTCAGCAACCCATAAAATACACATGCATGATTCACATAATCAAATAGTAACGAAAGTTACAAAATGAAAAGTGAAGCAGCTCTACCCCAAGTCCTTCCCCCAATATAACCATGAACAGTCTTAAATCTAATGCCGCTGTCTAAAACTGACTAGTTATTCAAATGAATCAATATTTTCCCCTTTCCAGAGGCAGAAATTAATACAGATTCAAGTGTTCACTATCAAGTCGGAATTGTTAATATGTGAAATACTACTGTTAAAGGCAGGAAAGGCTTTATTAAGGACAAGAAGACAAACTAGGAGAAGGAGCTACTCAAGACCTTCCGATTATCTTTACAAAAAGGCAACTACACCTAGAAGATTCTGCAGCCACACACATTCTGCCTTCACTTGAGGTCAACTGCCTTCACCAAGGTCAGATATTAGCAAAGGCTAACATTTATTCAGCTCTGTGTGTGCCAGGCATTTTATTAAGAACTTTTCATGCATCATCAGTTCTATGCCTTATAGCAACAATGCATGTAAGAACTTTTCATGTATCATTGCTTTTATGCCTCATGCAATACACTGTTGTCCCTGATTTCCAAATGTGGCTACTAAGGTTGAGGAGTGAAGTGTCCTTTGGCAGGGTGACACAGCTAGTACGTAGTGGAGTTGAGGTTCAGATTCTGGGCATCTGATTCCAGCACCCACCTTAATCATTGTTGTCTGGGATTTATTTATGCAAAAAGTTACAAATTGTATCTTAGGCTTTTAATTGTAAGCGCTGATTGAGAACCACTTCATGCCATTGACACAATGCTTCCTAATACTTTGGATCATAGATACCTTTGAAATTTCTGTTAAAAGCTATTAGAAGACCTACCTTCTTCCTAGAAAAATACATATTCAAACAGCTTTGCATATAAAACTCAGCATAGATGATATCTCTAGAGGTCCATTTATTCTAATTGCTAAGGAAATGAAATAACCTTTTTCCCCTACACCCAACTCCGAAGACCTGAAATAACATTTTAAACAGTTTTCCATCAAAAGAGGTTTGAAGACTTTGGTGTTTAAGAGATTAATGTGTTAGCCAGAACAACTCATTTCTCTACCAGTGTGTAGTCCATTTATCTTTAAAGATTTTCTATTGAATAATTTTGAAATTACTTTCTTAGTTTTCTTCATTAAAAACTAAGAAAATGCTTTGTTTATTATGAATTGCTATTTCTCTTGATTATTATTCTTGGAGAAAGTCTATCAGACGTAATTCTTCTGATTTGCTTCTAGGCTAGAGGAAAATGTGAAAGATGACAAATGAAAATTTCAAAGGTTGTCAGTAGTATGACTTCTTTTATCGTTTGTCATTATCACAAATATATCAACATAGGACTTTTAAAAGATATTTTGTACATATTGGGCCTTAGTAGGATTTTGCATGAATTTTTTTTTTCTTTTATGCCAAGAGAGAAAGAGCAAAGAAATAACCAAGGGTGATGTACTCGTATTGAAGGTTTACCAAATAAGGACTGCTTTTATTATGAACTATAGTCTATATTCTAAGTAAATCAATTTTTCTATTATGTGTTTTTTGTTCCTGCAGGCAAGATCTCTGAACTTTATGCAGAGGGTTCTTTTAAAAAAACAAAGTTGAATTTTTTTATTTCTTGGAATATTTTTTTTCATTGATTTCTCCCAAGTAGAGCAGATTCAAATCTCCTTTGTACCCTATGTCTTTTTTGTTTTGCTATAAGCTCAGTATTCCATTTCTACATTTTCCTTTCCTAGAACCAGTCAATAAATGACAAAAAAAAAAACAAAACAAAGTAAATCATGTGTTGTTGCAGTAGGAGTTCAAGGAAACCAAGGACAATCTTGTTTGTTTATTTGTTTTTTTGTTTGTTTTTTTTTTGAAACAGAGTTTTGCTCTTGTTGCCCAGGCTGGCATACAGTGGCGCGATCTTGGCTCACTACAACCTCTGCTTACCAGGTTCAAGCAATTTTCCTGCCTCAGCCTACCAAGTAGCTGGGATTACAGGCATGCACCACCTCACCTAGCTGATTTTTGTATATTTAGTAGAGACAGGGTTTTGCCATGTTGGTCAGGCTGGTCTCGAACTCCCGACCTCATGTGATCAGCCCACCTCGGCCTCCTAAAGTGCTGGGATTACAGGCGTGAGCCACCGTGCCTGGCAGACAGACAGTCTTGATGTGGGAACAGAGAAGGCTGGATAGGAGTTGGATAAGGCCATTTCAGATAAAGAGGGGGTGGCTTCACCCAAGGCAGGAAGTGGAACTGTGTGTAAGGGGGTCATGAGGACAAACTACATTTGTAAATAATGAGAAATAAGGGCTTGTGACAGTAAATATATTTGGTCTCTTTGCCTGGTTCCCAACACAGAGCTCCTGAATGTCGCAAATTCCTGAGTGATAGGAGCATCTTTTGTTCTAACTAGGACACTCTTAATGGGCTTCTGGGTAGCTTCAAGGTGGGGACTAGTCACCAAAAAGACCAAGCCATAATTAGAAATTTGGAACTTTCAGTCCCACCCTTTGACCTCTGGAGATTGGAAAGGGGCTGAAGATTGAGTTTAATCAGCAATCAGTCATGCCCTCATAATGGAACCTCTATACAAACCCTAACTGATGGCTGGAGTATGGGGAGAGTTCAGAGAGCTTCCAGGTTGGTGAATGCATCCATGTATGGGTAGGGTGGTACCCTCCAAATTCCAGGGGAACAGAAGCTCCTGCAGTGGGGACATTCCAGACATGGCCCTGTGTACCTCTTCATGTTGCTGTTGATTTGTATCCTTTACATAAGTAACGTTTCCCTGAGTCCTGTGAGCCTTTATAACATTATTGAACCTGAGGAGGGGGCCATGGGAACCCCCTGGTTGGTAGCCAAGTTGGACAGAAGTGTGGGTGCCCTGGGCACCCAAGACTTGGAACTGGCATCTGAAGTAGGGAACAGTCTTGTGCGACTGAGCCCTTGAGCTGTGGGGTCTGTGCTAACCCTGGTAGTCAGTGTCATAACTGAATTGCAGGACACCCAGTTTGTATCTGCAGAGAACTGGAGAACTGCTTAGTGTGGAAAACCCACACATTTGGTGTCAGAAATGTGTGAGAAAAAACAATTTTTTCCTTTTTTTTTTTTTTTTTTTCTTTGAGACGGAGTCTCGCTGTCTCCCAGGCTGGAGTGCAGTGGCGCGATCTTGGCTTACTGCAAGCTCCGCCTCCTGGGTTGATGCCATTCTCCTGCCTCAGCCTCCTGAGTAGCTGGGACTACAGGCGCCCACCGCCACGCTGGCTAATTTTTTTTTTTTTTTGTATTTTTAGTGGAGACGGGGTTTCACCATGTTAGCCAGGATGGTCTTGATCTCCTGACCTCATGATCCGCCCGCCTCGGCCTCCCAAAGTGCTGGGATTACAGGCGTGAGCCACCGCGCCAGGCCAATTTTTTCCTTTTATGTTTGTTGGATGAATAATGATGAATCTAGCAGGGCACAGAAAGCTAGGCAGCAGTGGAACTGAGAATGAAGTTATAGTTAATAGCAGAGAATGAAAAAGAAAAGACAGATAAAACATTTTGAAGAAAGGACAGTAATGTATTCCCAACAGGTAGGATTTACAGGATGAAGGAGAGAAGAGGCAAAGATAACCACAAAATTTCTAGCCTGAGAGACTGGTAGAAAAAAATGGTGGTATCAGGGACAGATGGGGTTATTAAGGAAAAGGATTGGATTTTTAAAATAAAGAAGATCTGGTGTAAAATTATCCTTAGGGAAATTGGAAATCCAGGCACGTACTTCTCTCCATCATGCCCTTGAATAGTGCAGTCCCTCTGCCTGTCCATGCCTCACTTCCCCCTCCCTAGGATTCCTCTGCCTCTCTTAAGACCCATCTCAAATTATCACGTAGACTTGTAAATAATTTATATGAAACTGGATAGCTGAGGTTTCAAGCCTTTATCCCTTTGAAACTTTTTAATAACAAGTTATTGTTACCTTTTACTAAATCCAACTTTATATTCACCATTTTAACTAGCATCATTTCCGATTCCAAGACCTGTTTGGTGTGAAAGTGCAGCTAAGTTACTGTTAATCAAGATCAGAATAAAAGAATCTACCAAGAAAAATTAACAAAATCCCCCTTTTAATGTATAATCTTCCATCTGTCAGGCTGTAAGTTAAATAACACAAAACAAAGCTGTATGTTTTATGGATATGTACATATATAATTGCAGGGAACATGATTTGGAAGGATATACACTTACATTGCTAAGAATAGTCACCCCTAAGGAGAAGACTGGGGTCATAAGTGGAAGTCAAGGGAGTCTTCAGCTTTCTTTTTGTATTTAAATTTTGATAGAAATACATACATATGTGTTATAATTTTAAATTTTTAATGAAAAAAGTATTCTTCCGTTTTTTCTTTGATGTGTCAATAGGTTATATTTTTCTAATATCAGCTAAACATTTGCTTCCCAGAAAGCTTAGTTACCTCTTCAAAATTTATTCAGGTTAAAATAAAAGATTTAGACTGGATTAAAAATCTAAGATGGTATTTGCCTACTTTATACAAAACAGTACATTGATGCTGCTAAAGCAATTAAAGTATAATTTTTCTGGTTTTTTTTTTTTTTTTTGGAGACGGAGTCTCACTCTCTGTCGCCCAGGCTGAAGTGCAATGGTGCAATCTCCACTCATTGCAACCTCGGTCTCCCAGGTTTAAGCGATTCTCCTGCCTCAGCCTCCCCAGTAGCTGGGATTACAGGTGTGCACCACCACGCCCAGCTAATTTTGTTGTGTGTTTAGTAGAGACAGGGTTTCATCATGTTGGCCAGGCTGGTCTCGAACTCCTACCTCAAATGATCTGCCCACCTCAGCCTCCCAAAGTGCTGGGATTACACGCGTGAGCCACCACGCCCAGCCTAAAGTGTGTACTTTTTCTTAGCTCCTATATGCAGTGCTCCTTCCCATGCTGAATGTCTGAATTTTTATCTGAGACGTAGTATTTCAGGTGGTCATTACTTGTGGGTGGTCATTGAGAGTTCCTCCCTGCTTCTAACCTTCCTCTCTTCATTTTAAATTAAGTTACGCTACATTATTGTGGGTTAGAAGGTACATTAATATTAAGTGAAAAAATATAATCTGATGAGTAAGTGGCAAGAGTGTTAACTTATAAATATTAAGAGTTGTTCTGAGGCATTTTTGCTTTTCTGGTGGTTCTGTGCTTCTGGTAGAACTCTTGGTTACTGAATAAATAGTTCCTGAAAAGTGAGAGAGTGCAGCTGGAAATTAGATTTCTGATGAATAAATCAAACCCTATTAAGAGAACCAGGTTCAAGTAATTTTAAAACCACTTGAATTTTCATAAATGTTTTGTTAATGACTAATTATAAAAAACAGTGACTAGCTGGAGGCTTTTGTGTTTGCTTTTGAGTCAGCTAGGAAAAGGAAAAAAAATTCAAGCTTAGTCAATTGTGGTTTTCACTGAATCTTTTTTAAAGTAATGAGCTGGTTTGTTTTCTTCATCACTATAGCAACTTAAGCTAGTTTCTGCTTTTGATTTTTATTTCTCCTAGAGAAACTTAGCATGTACTGCTCATTAGACTTGAGCATACTAAGGAATATCTGTGGTAATTAAGTTAAAAATCAGATCAGTGCTTTGTACTGTATATAGTTGCAGATGTCTGCATTTCACTAATATTCTTTGGAAACATCTGGATACCAGTTAACATAAAATAACTGTTTAGTCAGTTTCTGTTCAGAATAGAAGGAATGATTTAAAAGTTCCCATTGTAGTACATACGTCATTCTATCCCCTGCCCTTCCTCCAGCTTTACTGAGATTGATAAATAATAAACGTCATGGGTGGTGTGTCTTTAGTTTCCTCTGGTGAGCTGAGTGCACAGATTACTTTGTCAGCAGGGTGGCCTTGATTTTTAGGCCATGTTTCTAATGGCATCAGTTCTGTGGCTGACACCTGTGTACCAAGCCCATTCACTGTCTAGCTTAGCCAGCCGTGGACTCCTGCTCTTTGTTAAAAGTATTTACCTTCATTCCTACTAGCACAGTTGACCAAAGACCCAGTTGATCCCAAACACTAGTAATGCATCAATGGAGTCTAACAGAGTTTTAAGATGCGGTGTGTGCGTGTGTGTGTGTGTGTGTGTGTAGAGATGGGATCTCACTATGTTGTCCAGGCTGGTCTTAAACACCTGAGCTCAAGTTCTTCTGCCTCAGCCTCCCAATGTGCTAGGACTACAGGCATGAGCCACCATGCCTAACTGTCTAAGACTTTGGGATACAAAAATATAATTTACTTTCCTCCATTTCTGGAATAAAACATCTCTTCCTTCCTCCTTCTAGTTTCTGTTCTGTGCCCCTGTTTGATCTCTGTTGGTCCTGTTCACCTTCAGCCTTCTCTGCTGAAGGAGGAAAGGCTTGGTTTTATAAAAAGTGACAATATTCAGATCACATAAGATCCTTCTTGCTTCATTTTGGCTTAAATATTTTAAGATTTTCTGATTTTCTTGTATGTGTATGTATTTTCCTATTATTTGACTTTTTTGAACAACTTCAAATTGAGTATATTTGAACGAGAGTAGGCATTCAAAAGTGCTAGGCTTTCCCTGCCTTTCAGAACTTTGAGGTATATGTCACATCATTTTGTCCTTCACATTCTCCAGTTGTGCTAATTTTTCCCAATCCATTGAGTTAAGTAGAGTACCTTCCTTTTTGCAGTCATATTCTTACTTTTTTTTTTTTTTTTAATTTTTTTGAGACAGTCTCAAACTGTTGCCCAGGCTGGAATGCAGTGGTACAATCTCAGCTCTCTGTAACCTCCGCCTTAGCCTTGTGAGTATGGGACTACGGGAATGTGCCACCATGCCCAGCTAATTTTTGTATTTTCAGTAAAGATGGGGTTTCACCATGTTGGCCAAGCTGGTCTCAAACTCCTGACCTCAAGTGATCTGCCCAGCTCGGCCTCCCAAAGTGCTGGGATTATAGGCGTGAGCCACCACATCTGGCCCCTACATAAATCTCTTCGTGTCCCTTAGAATGTAGTTAAGACTTATTTTCAGGTGACAGTATATTTTTGATAGTTATCTTTGGTTTCCAAACCCAGAGAAGGAAGAGTAACTGGCTTCTTCTGTGTGTGGGTACATTGTGTCTTATTGGAGATTGTTTTGTCTCAAGTATTGCTGCAGAGTATTTTATTAATGGGTGCACTTTAAAATTTTTTGTTTTTCAGACTACCAGTTTAGGTAGCCCAGTACTCAATATTTGCCAATTTCTAGAATTAAAAACATGTATGAATCACTGGTTAACTAGAAATTTAAAATGAAAATGTTTCTTCTTTAGCCCAGGCAATATCACTTGCATTCATTTCTATCCCCTCCCTGTCCCTGTTCTGTTGGCTCTGGGGCTTCTTCCACTAAGCTGGTACTTTCTTTATAGCTCCTCCTGTGCTTCCATTCACTAAACCTTTATTGGTTCATAGCCTACAGAAAATGCCTGTGGTGTGAGAGGTAATTTGTGAAACTGCTTCTCTTCACTGTTTAGCAGTTGAGCTCTCTAAATGGGTGTAGCTGGGAAAGAAAACTTAACTTTACAAACAAGAATTCCTGGGTTCCATCCAGCGGAACATGTCTTTTGTTATACACACACAGTTTCTGACTCATGTCATTCCATGACTTATGATAAAATGGACATTTTGTTTACACTTGTGTGGAAGGAGGGGTCTGGTTTCTAATTTTTAATAACATCTATTTCTAGAATATTAGGCTTGCCATTTGAATGCTTCTGTTTGATTTATGAATATCATTGGTTCCAGCAGTTTTTAGCTCCCCACTAAATGCAAGTTAAAATTTTTAAGTTTCTAAGTTAAAAGAAAGTAACATTTCCTCCACTTAAGAAAGCAAGGAAAATTAAAAATAATGTGGTGATGACTTCCACAGGCTCTAAAAGAGCAATGGAAAAAGTGATTTATGTGTGGGAGAAGAAATACTAGTTCTTTTTTTTTTCTTTTTTTTTTTTTTTTTGTATTGATCATTCTTGGGTGTTTCTCACAGAGGGGGATTTGGCAGGGTCATAGGACAATAGTGGAGGGAAGGTCAGCAGATAAACAAGTGAACAAAGGTCTCTGGTTTTCCTAGGCAGAGGACCCTGAGGCCTTCCGCAGTGTTTGTGTCCCTGGGTACTTGAGATTAGGGAGTGGTGATGACTCTTAACGAGCATGCTGCCTTCAAGCATCTGTTTAACAAAGCACATCTTGCACTGCCCTTAATCCATTTAACCCTGAGTGGACACAGCACATGTTACAGAGAGCACAGGGTTGCGGGGTAAGGTCACAGATCAACAGGATCCCAAGGCAGAAGAATTTTTCTTAGTACAGAACAAAATGAAAAGTCTCCCATGTCTACTTCTTTCCACACAGACACGGCAACCATCCGATTTCTCAATCTTTTCCCCACCTTTCCCCGCTTTCTATTCCACAAAACCACCATTGTCATCATGGCCCGTTCTCAGTGAGCTGTTGGGCACACCTCCCAGATGGGGTGGTGGCTGGGCAGAGGGGCTCCTCACTTCCCAGTAGGGGCGGCCGGGCAGAGGCGCCCCTCACCTCCCGGACAGGGCGGCTGGCTGGGTGGGGGGCTGACCCCCCCACCTCCCTCCCGGACGGGGTGGCTGGCCGGGCAGAGGGGCTCCTCACTTCCCAGTAGGGGCAGCCAGGCAGAGGCGCCCCCTCACCTCCCAGAAGAGGCGGCTGGCCGGGCGGGGGGCTGACCCCCCCACCTCCCTCCTGGACGGGGCGGCTGGCCGGGCAGAGGGACTCCTCACTTCCCAGTAGGGGCGGCCGGGCAGAGGCGCCCCCTCACCTCCCGGAAGAGGCGGCTGGCCGGGCGGGGGGCTGACCCCCCCACCTCCCTCCCGGACGGGGCGGCTGGCCGGGCGGGGGGCTGACCCCCCACCTCCCTCCCGGACGGGGCGGCTGGCCGGGCGGGGGGCTGACCCCCCCACCTCCCTCTCGGAGCGGCTGGCTGGGCAGAGGGGCTCCTCACTTCCCAGTAGGGGCGGCTGGGCAGAGGCGCCCCTCACCTCCCGGACGGGGCGGCTGGCCGGGCGGGGGGCTGACCCCCCCACCTCCCTCCCGGACAGGTCGGCTGCCGGGCGGAGAGGCTCCTCACTTCCCAGATGGGGTGGCTGCCAGGCGGAGGGGCTCCTCACTCCTCAGACGGGGCGGCTGCCAGGCGGAGGGGCTCCTCACTTCTCAGACGGGGCGGTTGCCGGGCAGAGGGTCTCCTCCCTTCTCAGATGGGGCGGCTGGGCAGAGACGCTCCTCACCTCCCAGACGGGGTCGCGGCCGGGCAGAGGCGCTCCTCACATCCCAGACGGGGCGGCGGGGCAAAGGCGCTCCCCACATCGCAGACGATGGGCGGCCGGGCAGAGACGCTCCTCACTTCCTAGATGGGATGGCGGCTGGGAAGAGGCGCTCCTCACTTCCTAGATGGGATGGCGGCAGGGCAGAGACGCTCCTCACTTTCCAGACTGGGCAGCCAGGCAGAGGGGCTCCTCACATCTCAGACGATGGGCGGCCAGGCAGAGACACTCCTCACTTCCTAGACGGGGTGGCGGCTGGGCAGAGGCTGCACTCTGGGCACTTTGGGAGGCCAAGGCAGGCGGCTGGGAGGTGGAGGTTGTAGCGAGCCGAGATCACGCCACTGCACTCCAGCCTGGGCACCATTGAGCACTGAGTGAACCAGACACCGTCTGCAATCCTGGCACCTCCGGAGGCCTAGGCTGGCGGATCACTCGCGGTTAGGAGCTGGAGACCAGCCCGGCCAACACAGCGAAATCCCGTCTCCACCAAAAAAATACGAAAACCAGTCAGGCGTGGCGGCGCGCGCCTGCAATCGCAGGCACTCGGCAGGCTGAGGCAGGAGAATCAGGCAGGGAGGTTGCAGTGAGCTAAGATGGCAGCAGTACAGTCCAGCTTCCGCTCGGCATCAGAGGGAGACCGTGGGGAGAGGGAGACCGTGGGGAGAGGGAGAGGGAGAGGGGGAGGGAGAGGGGGAGGGGGAGGGGGAGGGAGAGGGAGAGCACTAGTTCTTAATTAATACATTGTTTTACTATTTCCTGTGAATTTATGTAGAAGTAATGAAACCAAGGTTTATTAAGTCATTTTTTCAAACTCCTGTCAGTTTAGACTTTTTAATTGCTTTGTTACATGCCATTACTTTGTAATACTTGTTATAGCAGTGGTAATAGTTGAGATTTGCCTGTTTGACCACTTGCAGGGCACCGTGCCAGATTCCCCATGTGCGATGTTCCTCGCAGTCGTGACACCCATCCTAGGAGAGTGGCATTAGCACCCCTCCATGCAAGCGGATGGTGCAGGCTGGGTCGCCTGGGCACAGCGCCTTACCATTTCCCTGGCTTAGTGTAGTTATCATTAAATAATATGTGGTATTACTTAGAAGCATTTTGAATAATTTGAAAAGCACATTTTAGTGTTTAAACAATTTTTTTTTTCTTTTTTCTTTTTTTTTTTGAGGAAAGGTCTGGCTCTGTTGCTGGGGTTTAGTGCAGTGACCTGAGCGTAGCTCACTGCAGCCTGCAACTCCTGGGCTCAAGTGACTCTCCTGCCCCAGCCTCCTGAGCATCTTCGACTACACGCACATGCCCCCACGCCCAACTCAATTTTTTTTTTTTTTTAAGATACAAATGATTCATCTTAATATTATTTACAGTTTTTTTTTCCCTTTTCTGTGGGCTTTATCTGACTGGAAATTCTTTTTAAATTTTTTATTTTTTAAATTGACAAATTGTAGATATATATTTATGAGGTACAAAGTAATTTTATGATTTATGAATACAACATTGCATAATTAAGTCAAGCTGATTAACCTGTTCACCACTGGAAACAATTGCAAATAATTATCATTTTTTCTGGTGAAAACATCTGAAATTTACTCAGTGATTTTGAAATGTGCAGTACTTTTTGTTGTTGTTGTAGAAATGAGGTCTCACTATGTTGGCCAGGCTGGTTTCAAACTCCTAAGCTCAAGTGATCCTCCCACCTCAGCCTTCCAGTGTTGGGATTACAAGCATGAACTACCATGTTGGGCCAAATGTATAATCTATTATTATTTACTGTATTCACCATGCTGTGCAATCTATCTCGAAGAAACTTATTCCTTCTAATTGAGGCTTTGTACCCTTTGACCATCATCTCCCCGTCACCCCCATTCCCAGTTTTGTATACTTTGAGTCCTTTCATGATAGGTATGGAGGCTTATGGTAAGTTATTTAAAACTTAACATGTATGTCAAATATTTTTGTGGCCATAGCTTTTCTTTCTTTTTTAAATTTTAAGAGTCAGAATATTCGTATATTAATTCGGCATGTATTTGAGTGCCTAATATATGCCATTTTCTATGTTAGGAACCAGGAATTAAAGCAGTGAACATAACAAAGTCTGCCCTCGTGGTGCTAACTTGCCAGGTAGGGAAGCCAGATAATAAACACATGTATAATGCAAAGTCAGTAATAATAAACGATATGAAGAAACAAGGTAGGAGAGGCAGGAAAGTGGGAGTGAGAAAGAGGTGCTCTTTTAAATACAGTGGTCAAGGGGAGCCTCTCAGAATGAAGTTTTTAACAGAGACCTGAATGAAATGGGGGAGTGAGCTATACAGATATCTGCTGTGTGCTGGAAAAATTACCTGTAATTTTGCATTCCAAAAGTTTAATAATGACTACATTTATTTCACAATTTGAGAATCAGTTATACACAAGATATAGTTCTAAGCACATACTCCTCTAAATATGATTTGTTTGTACAGTAGACCAAATAAGTATGTTCAGCTTAGAATATGCTCTTTATGGTCATGTGTACAATAAATAAATTATCTTAAAACATTATCAATATTAAGGTTGATGTTTTCAGAAACATGTAAGAAAGCTAGCTTTTAAAATTGACTAGGGAAGTTCTCTCAAACTGCCAGTCCATGAGATATTGTATATTTTCTATCTGAAAAACTTTTAATCTCAGAATTCTTTAAAAGAGCTCTCCCTGGGGCTCCCATTACTTACTTGTGACTCCCAGTGGAAATCGTACCCAGCCCCTCGAGAGGGGCTGAATCTGTTGGGAGTGGGAGGGTAGAAAAAATGCTGCAGCTTCTTGTGGGTATCCTTCACACACAAACACCCAGTGCCCCAAGCACTGTGCAGTCAAACATCAACCCCACTCAGACTTTCCTCCTTGGGATTGAGAAGCAATGGATTATAGAGAAAGAAAGGTGGATTAGCACTCCAAAACTTTGAAGAGTAATTGACCAAGACCCCCAAAGCCAAAGCTGTGGGCATCCCCACTTCCAGTATACCCTGTACCAACACGTAATGGCTACTAGATACAGGGGCACTAGTACCTACCTGTCTGCTTGGCTACCTGCCCTCTTTGCAGAAGTGGTGAAGGGAATCACTCAACCTCAGAAAGGGAAAATGGCTTTCTCATTTTCAGATTGAAAGAGGTTGGCAGTGGGTGAGGAGAATAACAGGTAAGGATCTCTTTTAATATACCCATTTGAAGCCAAAACCTCTGTTTAGACATACGGTATTTTGAACCTGGTGATTATTCATTGCCCATGTTTGTGAATTATCAGAAAGCAGAATTCTTGCCAGGCATAGTGGCTCATGCCTGTAATCCCAGCACTTTGGGAAGCCAAGGTGGGAGGATCACTTGAGCCCAGGAGTTTGAGACCAGCCTGAGCAACATGGTGAGATCCTGTCTCTACAAAAAATTCAAAAATTAGCTGGGCATGGTGGTGTGCACTTGTGGTCCCAGCTACTCAGGAGGCTGAGGTGGGAGGATTACCTGAGCCTAGGAGGTTGAGGCTACAGTAAGCCATGTCTGTGCCACTACACTCAGCCTGAGCAACAGAGCAAGACCCTGTTTCCCACCCCTACCCCCCCAAAAAAAAGCAACCTGAATTCTTGAACTCCCTGCAACCAGGTCACCCAAACCAAAGGTAAAAGGAACATAAAAAAGCCTTCTGGAAAGTGTACAGAAATTCATTGCAGGGTGATTTTTGTCTTGTGAAATCATAGTTACTGTTATTAGCAGGTTTTTTTAACGTTTTATATTCATTTTTCATGGTGTTCTGATGTACAAGCTGCTTCAAGTGTTTTTGGACATAGCTTGGATGTAAAATGTAAAAAGTGGATATTTTCAATTTGTAGCTTTCTTTTTTGAAGCTTACTTAAGTTTGTTCTAAATATAACCCCTTCTTTCTCACCCACCCCAACACATTTTTTTAAAAACACCACCAGGTATCCGTTACAGCACTGATGTGAGTGTAGATGAAGTAAAAGCTTTGGCTTCTCTGATGACATACAAGTGTGCAGTGGTTGGTAAGTGATCGCCTTTCTTGCTGCCTAATGAGAACTCTGGGGAAATATGTTTACACACATGTTACTGTTAAGATGCTGTAGAAATATACCTTATCAGAACTGATTTTTTTTCAAGTTGTAATCTTTAAGACCTGCATCATTTTTCAATTAGTCTAAATTAAGATATAGCCTTTTTTTTTTACATGGGGGATTTTTTAAAATAGGAGATAATTGGATTTTAAGTCTAGATCTTTGTTTTCAATTCCTCAACACATTCTGTAAATAAGACCAAATTATAGTAGAAGGAGAGTAAATAAGCTATTATCTTTTAGAAGTGGTAAAGAGCACTGATTAAATATATATTAGAACTTGGCTAGCCAATTTTATTGAACAATTTCTGTTCAACAAAATGTTGTTTAAAGTACAGTTTAGAAAATGATGGTAGGTTTATTTCTTGAATTTTCAGAAATTCAAGCTTAAAGCATCACGTTTCTCTAATATTGTGTGGTGCTTTCTGTCATTTTACTTTTTTAACATTTATATGGAATAGCAACCATCAGCCTTCTCTTTCAGATGTGCCGTTTGGGGGTGCTAAAGCTGGTGTTAAGATCAATCCCAAGAACTATACTGTAAGTATGAAAGTGATATTTGTTTTTTATTGTTGTTGTTGTTTTTGTTTTTCTGAGACAGAGTCTTCCTCTGTTGTTCAGGCCGGAGTACAATGGCGCAATCTTGGCTCACTGCAACCTCCGCCTCCCGGGTTCAAGCAGTTCTCCTTGATCCAGTAACTGGGATTACAGGTGCACGCCACCATGCCCGACTAATTTTTGTATTTTTAGTAGAGAGGGGATTTCACCATGTTGGCCAGGCTGTTCTTGAACTCCTGACCTCAGGTGATCCACCTGCCTTGGCCTCCCAGAGTGCTAGGATTGCAGGCATGAGCCACCGCACCCGGCCTCAAAGTGACATTTGTGCACACAGTGCATTTATGAAGGACTTGAAATTACTGGGCTTCTCTGTATCCCCCACTATCAGTGAGATCAGTAGTCCCCATTGCTTTTCAAATGGAATAGAAAAATGTAAAGAATTAACTCATAGCGTGTTTTGCCATATAAAGATCACCTACTTAATATCTATATCCTTTATCATTTTCTGTTTCATTTGGTTTTGTTTTTATGAGTCTTTTGTTTTACTTTTTTGCTTTTTGTTTTATTATTTTCTTACTTAGTTAAAACGTAATTAATATCTTCACTTATATACTTATACCCATATTTATATAATGTCTTCACTTAGACACTTATACCCATATTTAAGAAATACTGTGATCTGATTAGCCAGGCATAGTGGTGCACACCTGTAATCCCAGCTACTCGGGAGGCTCAGGCATGAGAATTGCTTGAACCCAGGAGGCAGAGGTTGGCTGAGATTTCACCACTGCATTCCAGCCTGGGTAACAGAGCAAGACTCTGTCTCAAAAAGAAAAAAGTATTACTGTGATCTGAAGTTTTTATGTCAGGATCTGATTCTAGTGACACATATCTTAACTAAGACTATAAAAACCTTACTTTTTATCCAGTCAGTTCCAAGTTAATTCAAACTGATTGTCACAATGCTTTACATAATACTAAATTATCTATATACAAACATAAATGCATGATTTTTATTCTCTTTAAAATTCACCATTTAAATGGAATATAATTATATTTAAATTAATCTTAATTAAGATTTAGTGTATTTTTCAGTGGGGAATTAATAGAATGGGAATTTGAGCCCTAGTTCTACTATCTTGTTTTTATAACCTACTTTTTTGATCCCTTATTTTGTCACCTTTAAAATGGCAATGCCTACTTTATGAGTTGTTCTAAGGATTACATGAGAAGACATATGAAAATGTACTATAAATAGAAAATAAGATGCTAGCTATAATCTCAAGCGATTTTTATATCAATTTTTTCTTTTGTTTTTGTTTTCTTATTTTACAGGATAATGAATTGGAAAAGATCACAAGGAGGTTCACCATGGAGCTAGCAAAAAAGGGCTTTATTGGTATGTGTAGCCACATAGTTTTTGGTATAAAGTGGGAACATCTAAAAATTTTTTTTTTTTTTTGAGACGGAGTCTCACTCTGTTGCCCAGACTAGAGTGCAGTGGTGCGATCTCGTCCGCCTCCTGGGTTCAAGCAATTCTCTTGTCTCAGCCTCCCAAGTAGCTGAGATTACAGGCATGTGCCACCACACCCAGCTGATTTTTGTATTTTTACTGGAGATGGGGCTTTGCCATGTTGGTCAGGCTGGGCTTGAACTCCTGACATCAGGTGATCCACCCATCTCGGACTCCCAAACTGCTGGTATTACAGATAGGAGCCACTGTGCCCGGCCTCCTACTATTTGTTATAGGAGCTTTTGCCAAACATACAACATTTCTGAAGATATTAATCTTTGTTTGCTTGATGTTTTTGTATCTTACTATTATCTGTGTTTATATTTTCTTTGTGCACAATCTGAATATTCTTTTTATGATATGTAAGTATTTGTCATGTACCCTTTAATTTTCAAGCAGTTTAAACCTATATTTTTTTTAATCTAGAAGGCTTCTAATTTGTTTGAATAGAATATGCATAACTACTTAATAGAATGCTTGCCCTATCAGTATAGTTAATAGAATGTTAATACTTACTGCCGAGCGTGGTGGCTCACACCTGTAATCCCAGCACTTTGAGAGGCCGAGGCAGGTGGATCACGAGGTCAGATCGAGACCATTCTGGCTAACGGGGTTTAGTAGGAATCCCATCTCTACTAAAAACACAAAAAATTTGCCAGGCGTGGTCGCGAGTGCCTGTAGTCCCAGCTACTCAGGAGGCTGAGACAGGAGAATGGTGTGAACCTGGGAAGCAGAGCTTCCAGTGAGCCAAGATCACGCCACTACACCCCAGCCTGGGCAACAGAGCGAGACTCCGTCTCAAAAAAAAAAAAAAAAAAAAAAAAAAGAATGTTAATTGTTACTTAATAATAGAATACTTGTCCTATCAATATCAGTATAGTTAAACAAAATAAGGTCTACTTAAATAGAAAATAAAGTGTATTTTTCTCTACTTTCCTTTCTTAGCATTTCCCCCACAAGTTCCCATGAAATTAAACTATAAAGGCTGGGCATGGTGGCTGGTGCTTGTAATCCCAGCATTTTTGGAGGCTGAGGTGGGAGGATCACTTGAGCCCAGAAGTTCGAGACCACCCTGGGCAATATTACAAGACCCCATCTCTACAAAAAATGAAAACATTATCCAAGCGTGATGGTGCATGCCTGTGGTCCCAACTACTAAGATGGGAGGATCCCTTAAGCCTGGGGGGTTGAGGCTGCAGTGAGCTATGATTGTGCCACTGCACTCTGGCCTGCCACACTCTGGCCTGAGCAACAAAACGAGACCACATCTCAAGAAGAAAGAGAAATGAAATAAAGCTATTCGGATTCATTTTTAGGAAAAAAAAGTCATGAAATAAATGTCATGAAATAACCTAATATAGAAATACAGTAAGTATAGGTAACTCTAAAACTTGACTAGATTTGGCCTGTCTTTGATAATAAAAGGCATTTGGGCCTTTGATGTGCCGCATACCCAGCACTACTGTGAACTTGTGCATCCTTACATGGAGTCTGTTAACGTAAGTTAATATGAGTTAACTATCTCGCTCACACTTTTATAGGAGTGCCTACTGATTCTGAGATATGGTGAATTGAAGTCATCTTCAGCCTGTTAATAGCCTTCATAATTTTTAAAAGGTCTTTCCTCTTCCCCTAAATCTCAAACACATTTTATAGTCTTGAATGGTTTCAGACTTTATTCAGTCATATTTGTCACCCATATCTGCAATATCTCCAGCTTAATTTTATCAGACTTGACAAGTACCTAATAATTCCAAAGGTCAAAAAGTGATTCATTGGAATACTGAAAGAAAACACAGCTTAAACTCTAGTAATTTGATTTATTTGCTTAATGTGCAAAAGCCTCATTGACCCAGGATGCAGTTAAATTGACGTCTTGGCCCAGAAAGCTTTGAAGCCTAGGAGGTAGGCAAAGGGAGTTTTTTCTCTCACTCCTCGGCAAACCTTCAAATTTGATGTTATTTATCTGTTATTTCCTGACTGCCCATTCCACAGAGAGTGTCAGATTGAGGCTCAGACCTGAGCCTGAACCCTGATCCTGTCACATGTGTGTTTAGCATCAGCTTGTAAATTTCTGCAAAACAAAAGAAAAAAAGAGGCTGGGATTTTTATAGGAATTTCATTGAATCTGTACACTAATTTGTGGAGTATTGCCATCTTCCCCACCCTCCCCAAAAAGGTTTTGTCCTTTCACCCAGGCTGGAGTACCAGACAGCAGTCACTGCAACCTTGACCTCCTGGGCTCAAGCAATCCTCTCACCTCACCCTCCCAAGTAGCTAGAACCACAGGGGTGTGCAACTGTGCCTAGCTAATTTTTTAATTTTTTGTGGAGACACGGTCTCATCACGTATCCCAGACTGGTCTCAAACTCCTGAGCTCAAGCAGTCTTCCCACCTCAGCTTCCCAAAATTCTGGGATTATAGGCATGAGCCACTGCACCTGACCAGTATTGCCATCTTAACCATATTAAGCCTTCCAATGCTGAATATGAGATGTCTTTCCATTTATTTAGGTCTCTTGATTTCTTTCAATGATGTTTTGTAGTTCTCATTGTAGAAGTCTTACATAGAAGTCTTACAACTAAATATTTTACTCCTTTTAATGCTATTGTAAGTGACATTGGTCTATAGTTTTCTTATGATGTCTTTGTCTAGTCTTTGTATCAGGACAATTCTAGCCTCATGGAATGAGTTGAGGAGTGTTCCTTCCTCTTCTGCTTTTGGAAAAGCTTTTGAAAGGTCAATGTTCATTCTCTTGTGTGAGTGTAAATATCACCTAAGTTCTGCAGGACCCTGATGTCTCCACCCTTCTCATCCCCTTATATCTCTGTGTACCAAAATTACCCTTTCATCTCCTACTCTATAGTCACATGCTGTTAGAAAAGTTGCTTTTTTAAAAAAGATTAACTTCTGCCTCATACCTGTTCTCTATATAAGAATTTATCTGTTAGGCCAAGCATGGTGGCTCATGCCTGTAATCCCAGCACTTTGGGAGGCTGAGGCGGGTGGATCACCTGAGGTCAGGAGTTCGAGACCAGCCTGGCCAACATGGTAAAACCCCGTCTCTACTAAAAATAAAAAAAAATTAGCCAGGCAGGTACCTGTAATCCCAGCTACTCAGGAGGCTGAGGCAGGAGAATTGCTTGAACCTGGAAGGCGGAGGTTGCAGTGAGCCGAGATCATGCCATTGTACTCCAGCCTGGGCAGCAAGAGTGTAACTCCTTCTCAAAACATAAAAATTAAAAAAAAACAAAAAGAATATATCTGTTATTCAGGAACTACTTGTTTTTTGTTTTTGTTTTTGTTTTGAGACAGAGTCTTGCTGTGTCACCCAGGCTGGAGTGTAGTGGCACGATCTCAGCTCACTGCAAGCTCCGCCTCCCGGGTTCACGCCATTCTCCTGCCTCAGCCTCCCAAGAAGCTGGGACTACAGGCGCCCGCCACCACGCCCGGCTAATTTTTTGTATTTTTAGTAGAGACAGGGTTTCACTGTGTTAGCCAGGATGGTCTCGATCTCCTGACCTTGTGATCCACTCACCTCGGCCTCCCAAAGTGCTAGGATTACAGGCATGAGCACCGCACCCGGCCTCAGGAACTACTTGTAATCTGTGCATCCCTATACATTAGTTTTGTATGGAGTAGAAAACTCATAAGCCTAATAACTAATACCTTGTGATTTTGTTTTGGATGGCAGAAGCTGTTTCACGTTTAGCATGTATAGACTGTTTTTGAGAAGGATTTTATCATTACGTGTTTCTGATTTACAAACCATGTGTTTCAGACTTGCCACTTGCCAGAGCCCTTCTCCAATTGGAATTGTTTTTTGTTTTTTTGATTTTGAGACAGAGTCTCGCTCTGTCACCAGGCTGGAGCTCAGTGGCGTGATCTCGGCTCACTGCAACGTCTGCCTCCCTGGTTCAAGCAATTCTCCTGCCTCAGCCTCCCGAGTAGCTGGGACTATGGGCATGTGCCTCCACCCCCAGCTAATTTTTGTATTTTTAGTAGAGACGGGGTTTTACCACGTTGGCCAGGATGGTCTCTCTCTCTTGACCTCGTGATCAGCCCACCTCGGCCTCCCAAAGTGCTGGGATTACAGGCGTGAGCCACCGCGCCCAGCCGGTTTTTTGTTTTTTAAATGTATTGTTTAATCAAGACAGGATCTCACTATGTTGCCCAGGCTTGTCTCAAATTCCTGGACTCAAGCCATCCTCCTGCCTCGGCCTCCCAAAGTGCTGGGATTACAGGCATAAGCCACTGCCCCGGCCTAGTTGGAATTGTTGTTTGAGGTAACAAGCTTATTTAATCCTAAAGCAAGCATAATCCTTTTGTAGTTACCTCTAGAAAGATTCAGGACCAATTTGTCATTTGTACATTGGGAGAAAAGGAGTGGTTAAACAAAGTTGTGCTGACCTCCAGCAGAGGTATGTCACTAAAGGAATGGAAAGTGAGCAAATAGGAGCTGGAGAGCGCCAGAGAGCCCTTTTGTCAGTGGATGAGGCTAGAATATGGCATTAATCTTTCCAAGTGCAGTGGGGATTAGACTTCACAAGATTTTGTTGTTGTTGTTGTTGTTGTTGTCGTCATTGACTTCATGAGATTTTTAAGGTGACTAAGGGAAGGGTGCTAAGACATAGAGTTACAGATTAGGTGGGAGGTGGAGAGGGTCAGGGTATAAAAAGCGATCCTTGACCATTTCAAAGTTATCTTATACTAGCCCTGTATCCATTACATCACAGCTTGTTCAAAAAAGTTTATTATTTAGGCCTTGGGCCCCTGAGTTATAGAAAAACATTACAATATACTGATTCTGTTGACTAAAAAGTAAAATTTATAGGAATAATTGGGTACAGCCCTTAGAACTTTAATTATTTTATGGGGAGACATAATAGTTTAATAGTTTAACTTTTTTTTTTTTTTTTTTTGAAACAGAGTCTTACTCTGTCGCCCAGGCTAGAGTGCACTGGCGCGATCTTGGCTCACTGCAACACCCCCCACCTCCATTCAAGCGATTCTCCTGCCTCAGCCTCCGGAGTAGCTGGGATTACAGACATGTGCCACCACGCCCGGCTAATTTTTGTATTTTTAGTAAAGGCAGGGTTTCACCATGTTGGTCAGGCTGGTCTCAAACTCCTGACCTCGTGATCCGCCCTCCTCAGCCTCCCAAGGTGCTGGGATTACAGGCATGCGCCACTGTGCTCAGCCTAATAGTTTAACCATTTTTTAAGTTGCGTTTTTCGTTTTGTAAAAACGAGTTTGTATTTTACAGTTGAAATAATATAGAAAGTTATAAACTATATATATGGCAGGGAAGAGAAAAAAATTATAAGTGGGAACATGTTATACATGCTGTATGAAACCTGCCTTTTTCCATATGTATGTTCATGATAATTCCAAGTAATTTACATGGATATAAGTTACCCTTTTTAATGGCTGTTTAGTACTTTGCATAGGTATACCATATTTCATTTAATTGGCATACAAGATAATTAGGTTGTTTTTATTTTTACTGTGTTTGAGAGGAGTATTTCTGCACCTTTACAGATTTGAGTGAGCATCACTTAACATGTTTTTATCAGAGATCTTACTGTAGCCGTCAGTAGTAGTATAGTCAGTGATTCCTGTTATTGCCTGTAAGCTAATTTATTAGCCTAAACCTTTAATTTCCTATGATCTGAGGAACTGAAAGCTAAGGCCTAAAACCTTATATGTGCTGAATGTCGAATAATAGGTCACAGCCACATTCTTCCACAAGTAAAAATAATATGGGGCTTAACACAATTGCTTTAGCAATATGACCTTCTCCCCTTTTTCTCTACTTGATAAGGAGGGCTTATACCCCCACTAAGCAGCATGTTACTCTGCTATCTCATACATGTCAACTCCCTAACCATAATAATCCTGCTTATATAGAACACAATGGTACTGTTATCTCTAATTGCATGTTAGTGAAATGAGGTCAAGAGAGGCTAAACTGATTAACCTCTGGTCGCACACTCAGAAATCCTATGGAGTGGCTTATATCTGTTGTGCATAGCTAACTTCCAAACATACAGCAAGTAAATGCCAGAGGGAGAAATTATTATGTAATGTTGTATGTGTCTGCATTTTATAGTGAAACATTTAATGAATATTTCTATGACTTTGATTAGCTACCTAAATGAGATCTAAAGTTTTCTAGCCATGGTAACTTGGTTATTACAGAGACTTACAAGGATCTTTGTGTTCGAGAAGAATTTTTCTTAAAAACTGGTGCACTCCTCTTTCCCTGTGCCCCCGCAGGTCCTGGCATTGATGTGCCTGCTCCAGACATGAGCACAGGTGAGCGGGAGATGTCCTGGATCGCTGATACCTATGCCAGCACCATAGGGCACTATGTGAGTACCCACTGGAAGCCCCGAGGCTTCTGCATTTGCTGTCTACAAGAATTAACAGTTTGACTGATTATATCAAAAGTTGAGAATCCCTGGGTTTTTCTCTCATTCAATCATAATCTTGATGTGCATATTATTTTATGTCTACTTGTCTATTCTTAAATCGTAATGAACACAGATTGAGCTTTACTTATATGCTGCCCTATACTTGTCACTGGAACAGGACCAGGGCAGCCCACTGTGCTAAGACACTAGAACGTACATCAAGAAGCATCCAATTCTGATTTTTCCCTCAGAGGGCTTCCATTTAAAGAGGAACTAAGGTGCATAAGCAGATAAGGTATGGAAATAATGTAATACAACAGTGGAGATTATGAATTCTGAAATAAGACTTTCTAGAGGAGATATTTGGGCTAGACCTTGAAAATGGGTAGAATATGAACATTTAGAGATTTGGAGGATAAGAGGAAGAGAAACAATAGCGTTCAGTTTGTCTGAAGGTAAGGCATATTTATAAAGGTAATAGAAAGTAAGAGTGAGGGCTGGATGCAGTGGCTCATTCCCATAATTCCAGCACTTTGGGTGGCCAAGGCAGGTGGATCACTTGAGCCCAGGAGTTCGAGACCAGCCTGGACAACATGGGGAAACCCTGTCTTTCCAAAAAATACAAAAATTAGCCAAGCGTGGTGGTATACACCTATAATCCCAGCTACCTGGGAGGCATGCTTGAGCCCAGGAGGTTGAGGCTGCAGTGAGCTGTGGTTGCACCACAGCACTCCAGCCTGGGCAATAGAGTGAGACCCTGTCTCAAAACAAAAAAAAAGTAAGAATGAAGAGGTAAATGAACCAGGACAAAAACACCAAGCCCCAGTGTTTGTGTTTTACATGGTAGTCAGTGGAGAAATTTTGCTGATCCTTCCTGGGGAAGAATAGGCTGGCAGCAGTGTCCAGCTGTGCTGGCGCCAGGAGAGAACCTCCTATGGTGTCAGTGCCTTTCCACCAAGTCCAGGAGCCAGAGGACCAGGAGAGGAGCATTGCACATGTGAGGCACATGACAGAGAGACTCAGCAAAACTGGATTGGATATATGTGGAATTAAGGAAAGGGACCAGGCTGAGTCACAGAGAACCAGGAGAACCTGAGTCTGGGGACTGAGCAGAGGTAGTACCACAGAACTGAACATGAGAGGAAACTTAACTCCTGTCCCTGAAAGGGGTGCAACCTTAAAAAATGAAACATTTCAGGAGTAGGAAGAGAAACAGAGTCAAAAAATACATTTATGCCTACTACATGCAGGGCCATGTGTAAGCAAGGTATTCACTACAATTGGGATAAATTGCTAGAAGTTGTTTTGAAGCTATGAAAAAGAATCACAGGCCCATCCAGTCCTTTCAGTCCTTTCAAGGTAAGGTCAGAAAAAGCCTCCTAGGAGATAAAACCTTCTGGTCTGCACTTAGACGGGTGTGTGGACATGGACTAGGGTAGGGGTAGTGGCAAGTGTTTGGAACAGAAGGAATTACCTGAGGGAAGGTTCTGAAGTTCAGAAGCTGGGTGAACTTGGGAGGATAAGGACTGACTACTGTGGCCAGAGTTGAGAAAGAGAAAGGTGGGATAAGAAAGGCCAGTAGAAAAAAGGGTCAGGCCAGGTTACTGCTTGGTAGGTGACCATGAGAACTTTGGTCTTTGTCCTGAAAACACAGGGAAACAGCAAAGAGCTGGTTTCAAGCAGGTGTGACTCAGCTAAGTGTGCATTTGAAGACTTGAGGGCAGGAGACTACTACAGGGGCCCGGACTGCAAGGGGATATGAAGAGGGAAGCAGGGCATGAAATATAGCCTCCAACTAAGAAAAATGGCACCGGAGAGAAGCAGAAAGAAGACAGCTTGAAAAGTGGCTGTTACCCAGAGAAAAAGGTTTTTTTTGTCTTTTGGCATGTTTATTGGCTGTAAGACACAGATTTACCGGTGCAAGAGATAGACAATGCTGAAGAGATGCAGGCTGGTAGAGGTAGTGAAGTCCCCCAGGGGAATGAAGGCCTGGGGAATTCTTTTCATAGTGAAAAGATGGGCCTTGGAGAAGAGGAAGAATGTGGAAATGGGGACATTTCCTGAAGTGATGTCATGCTGTGGCTGGGAACATGGGCAGACCACCTGAAGTCCAACCCTGGCACCTTCACCCATCAGTGCTGTGACTTGGGAGTCTCTGTGCCTCCATTTCCTCCTATGCAAAATGACAGTAGTAATAGTACCTACTTTGTGAGACTCATGAGCATTAGATGAATAATAATCTAATGCACCTAGAACTGTACATAGCCCTTAGTAAGTATCAGAAAATAAATATCTGTAGGTATTACATCAGGTAAATTATACAACCCCCTGAAATAAAACAGGAACGATATAGACCCTTCAAATAATTGTGGTTTCAACTGCCCTTCCCAAAAGGACAGTTTTCCACCTGTCACCTTTTTATGCATCCTTCCCTTAGCCCTTGATTTTAGATTTCTTATCACTTGAAGGAAAACTGTTCACCAGTATAGTTCAAGGGGCCGTGCTTCACAGGACTTTCTCTTGCTGTTAGCACTGAGAATGAGCTACAAATAACATACTGCCCATTGGTTTGCACTATTCAATATAGTGTCTTGCTTAAAAAGAACAAGAGACCAGCTGGGCATAGTGGCTCACGCCTGTAATCCCAGCACTTTGGGAGGCGGAAGCAGGTGGATCACCTGAGATCAGGAGCTCATTTAGCAATGAGCTCTGGGTGTGGTATTTTTTTTTTTTTTTTTTTTTTTTTTTGAGACGGAGTCTCACTCTGTCACCCGATCTCAGGTCACCGCAACCTCCGCCTCCCGGGTTCAAGCAATTCTCCTGCCTCAGCCTCCCAAGTAGCTGGGATTACAGGTGCCTGCCACCATGCCCAGCTAATTTTTTTGTATTTTTAGTAGAGACGGTGTTTCACCATGTTGACCAGGCTGGACTCAGGTGAAGCAACTATACTGGTGAACAGTTTTCCCTCTTTAAGTGATAAGAAATCTAAAATCAAGCCCTAAAGGAAGGACACAGTTGTTTTTGTTACTCATTTCTAGATGTGAACTGAAACGTGCCGCCCTCTTTGTCCTAGCCCCACCTAGAAGTGCAGTGTAGGTGGGAGAATGTATTCTTCTCTGGGCTTTCAGGACCATTACGTATGCTGGGGAGCCTGGCAGTTGGCGCCAGGCCTGACCCCAGACAGTATTTCCTTCAGCTCCAGCATTTGCATTCTCACTGTTTAAAAGCATTTGGCACTCGGTTTGCATTTCTGTATTCATAAGTGTTAATTATTCATGAAAGCAAACTGTGGGAAAACTACTAATTCTATTAATCACTCTACTAGACTGAGTTTTTCTTCCTTGCTTTCATCCTTTTTGTTGGTAATTACACAAATAATATAATTCTAAGTTCTCTGTGTAAAAATATTTAAACAATACAGATAAAGAACAGATCACTTTTTAATTCAGCCAGCTGGAATGTTAGGGATATGTTGGGAGTTAGGGGTTTGGTGTGAAGTAGGGCATTTTATTTTGTTTACATGGAAAGCAAATTGCTTCAACAAATTTATTATTTTATACTTTTGCCACTGACTTAAAATTTTATATGAATTTTCATTTTATATTGATTGCCTATACAAAATAAGACTGTCTCTAGTTTCTCCTGCTCCACCGATGAGTTTACTCTGCAGTGTTCTCGTGGCCGTGCTTATAGTATAGTTGATGTCTTGGAAGGGAAGCCCTACTTAGCCCAATTCTTCTTTTTTCTAATTACACCTGTTTCTGTTTCTGAACAAGAATATACACACATCTTCAATTGAAAGAGGACAGGCCAGGCGCGGTGGCTCACGCCTGTAATCCCAGCACTTTGGGAGGCCGAGGCGGGTGGATCACGAGGTCAGGAGATCGAGACCATCCTGACTAACACAGGATGTTACTCTCTACTAAAAATACTCTACTCTACTAAATACCCCATCTCTACTAAAAATACAAAAAAATTAGCCGGGCGTGATGGTGGGTGCCTGTAGTCCCAGCTATCGGGAGGCTGAGGCAGGAGAATGGCGTGAACCCGGGAGATGGAGCTTGCAGTGAGCCGAAATTGCGCCACTGCACTCCAGCCTGGGTGACAGAGCGAGACTCCGTCTCAAAAAAAAAAAAGACAAAGAAAGAGGACAGAAAGATGGATGGTGAAGACTGTTAACCCCCATCTCCACTTTGCAGAGCTAACCACTGCTACCAAAGATACTCTGCTCACACAGAAGCACAGGACTCTTACCCACACATACCTTTTTAAAAATACTTCATTAAATACTTTCGTTACTCTACTCTTAGATGAACTTGAATGTCATGTTATATTAAGTATCAAGTTATATTAAAAACTTCCTTTTTCAAAAGTGGCAGAATACAACATTGAGTCTTCCCATCCAAGACAATTGTAAAGCCTCTTCCTGTCTCAGGCTCTGTTTTGGTGACATGCTCAAGTCTTATAGTAGATTTTAAGACACTCATGAATGGGATGTGTATGTACCTTGATTTAGTAGTGCTTAAATACTTGTTGAAGGAATGATAGCTTTAGGCTGAGCTAGCTCTACTTTTGTGATGTTATTTGTACTTACTTGATGTTCAATCCCTACACTCTTGTTTTTTCTGTCAGAAAATATGGTCTACTTTGCCGGGCGTGGTGGCTCACGCTTGTAATTCTAGCACTTTGGGAGGCCAAGGCAGGGAGATCACTTGAGGTCAGGAGTTTGAGACCAGCCTGACCAACATGGAGAAACCCCATCTCTACTAAAAACACAAAATTAGCCGGGCGTGGTGGCACGTGCCTGGAATACCAGCTACTCAGGAGGCTGAGGCAGGAGAATCGCTTGAACCTGGGAGGTGGAGGTTGCGATGAGCCAAGATCTCACCATTGCACTCCAGCCTGAGCAACAAGAGTGAAACTCCGTCTCAAAAACAAACAAACAAACAAACAAAAAAAAAAACAGAAAATATAGTATATTTTATTGTATTTTCTAGGAACAGAAAGCTGAAAAAGTGAGTCTTGTCTCTATTGGTAAAAGTATACCTTAAATACATTCATACACACACTCCTAATTAGCATATTTTTGATTAAATGAGAATGTGCTTTGACTTTAATTCATTATGTTCCTTCAACAGAGAAATTGGACTTGACATTTCATTCTTTCAATTACCCCCTCTTACAGGATATTAATGCACACGCCTGTGTTACTGGTAAACCCATCAGCCAAGGGGGAATCCATGGACGCATCTCTGCTACTGGCCGTGGTGTCTTCCATGGGATTGAAAATTTCATCAATGAAGCTTCTTACATGAGCATTTTAGGAATGACACCAGGGTTTGGAGATAAAACATTTGTTGTTCAGGTAAAAACAAAAACAAAAAAAGTTTCCTTAATAACTGATAGACATTAAGTAAAGTTTTCAATGTTTTTAGAATTGTAATTTTAAAATTAAGTTATCTCAAATCTCTTAAATTTTAGAGTGGTGGTTTTCAGAGTAATAGATATTTTGTTTTTTGAACCTTGGTATGATTCATGTAACTAGAACTGATTTAAGTATCTCTCAAGTACATGTGAAACTGTTACCAACTTCAACCAAACTATCACCAAATTCAACCAAAATATTGGTTAGTATTCAAACTTGAAATTATAGCTAGAAGGGCAAGTCTCTTAACATAATTTTCTAAGTTTTGTAAGTATATAGAAAGGTTTACACACTGACCCAAATTTGTTTCATGTGTTAACATGTATTTTACTTAGGAGAATCTTAATTAAGTTGAAATTACTTGAAAATAGAAGTGGTGGCTGGACACAGTGGCTCATGCCTGTATTCCCAGCACTTTGGGAGGCCAAGACGGGTGGATCACTTGAGGCCAGGAGTTCGAGACCAGCCTGGCCAACATGGTGAAACCCTGTCTCTACTAAAAGTAGAAAAATTAAGCCGGGCGTGGTGGCTCACGCCTGTAATCCCATCACTTTGGGAGGCCAAGGTGGGCAGATCACGAGGTCAAGAGATCAAGACCATCCTGGCCAACATGGTGAAACCCGGTCTCCGCTAAAAATAGGAAAATTAGCAGGGTGTGGTGGTACACGCCTGTAGTCCCAGCTACTCTGGAGGCTGACGCAGGAGAATCACTTGAACCCGGGAGGTGGAGCTTGCAGTGAGCCGAGATTGCGCCACTGCACTCCAGCCTGGGTGACAGAGCCAGACTCTGTCTCAAAAAAAAAGAAAGAAAAATTAGCTGGGCATGATGGCGGCACCTGTAATCCCAACTACTCAGGAGACTAAGGCAGGAGACTCACTTGAACCCGGGAGGCAGAGGCTGCAGTGAGCCAAGATTGTGCCATTGCACTCCAGCCTGTGTGAGAGAATGAGACTCGGTCTCAAAAAAAAAAAAAAATTGTATTTCTCCAAATTAGTGACATCCCTTTTCACAACATAGGACATCTGATCATCAAGGACTGAGGACCTGGTGGTGTACTTAACACCACTGCCATTTATTGATTGATTGAGATGGAGTCTCACCCTATTGCCCAGGCTGGAGTGCAGTCTCGGCTCACTGCAACCTCCACCTCCCAGGTTCAAGTGATTCTCCTACCTCATTCTCCCAAGTAGCTGGGATTACAGGCACGGACCCCATGCCTAATTTTTGTATTTTTAGTAGAGACGGGGTTTCACCATGTTGGCCATGGCTGATCTCGAACTCCTGACCTCAAGTGATCCACCTGCCTCAGCCTCCCAAAGTGCTGGAATTACAAGCGTGAGCCACCATGCCCGCTCATCACATTCTTAAACAGAGAATTTTATTGTTGAAGAGAAACCAGTTAGTACATTGTTTCTTTTGGCAAAAGAATTTTGAGAATTGCTTCTAAATAAACAGAGTATGGATTTACATTGGTCAAAATATGACTCTTGCTGTCTATACCAGGACTTTAATTTTTGTGTTATGGGTAATTGTTCTTCACAGGGATTTGGTAATGTGGGCCTACACTCTATGAGATATTTACATCGTTTTGGTGCTAAATGTATTGCTGTTGGTGAGTCTGATGGGAGTATATGGAATCCAGATGGTATTGACCCAAAGGAACTGGAAGACTTCAAATTGGTATTAATACATTTTTATAGCATAGACACTAAATATAAATATTTAAAACTCTGGTGCAGCTATTAATTGTGATTTTCAATCAATGGCAGCAACATGGGTCCATTCTGGGCTTCCCCAAGGCAAAGCCCTATGAAGGAAGCATCTTGGAGGCCGACTGTGACATACTGATCCCAGCTGCCAGTGAGAAGCAGTTGACCAAATCCAACGCACCCAGAGTCAAAGCCAAGGTGACAACATTATAGAAACCAGAACCAACATTATCAATGTGAATGACGTTAGGGGGGTCATAGAAGAGTCTGATTGAGTTTTCTCTTTCTTTTTAGCAGCTTTATTGGCACATACTGCACATACCATACAGTTCCCCCATTTAAGGTACATAATTTAATGGCTTTTAGCTACCGGCACAGAGTTGTGCAACCATTACCAAAACAAACGCATCTGCCTGACACTCCTGTAAAAAAAAAAAACAAGCAAACAAAAAAAAAACCTAGATAAATAGAAAAGTGAAAGGTAGTTTTATACACTTGGCAGAGAAAAATAACCTCTATTTAACTTTAACTGAAACTGTGCTTCTCCCCACAGCCCCTTGTTCATATATGCACATCTCTTGCCCTCAGTGGAGGGGATTTGACGGTGGTGTTCGCATTTCTCTATGTTCCTGACTCTCTTGCAGATCATTGCTGAAGGTGCCAATGGGCCAACAACTCCAGAAGCTGACAAGATCTTCCTGGAGAGAAACATTATGGTTATTCCAGTAAGTCATCTATATTTATTAGGCTTTATATGTACTTAGAATCATAATAGTCTTTTGCAAGGAATTTGGAGGAAGAGAGGAATTATTAGTCTCCAAGCTCTAGTGAATTCATCTTTTTCACTTTTGAGAAAATATAGTAGAAGCATGGTTAATTCTAAGCCTGTTAATTTTCACTTTGATCGAAACATTTATTCCAATTTCAGGCTCTTTACTGAATGTCTTTAGCCTTCTAAGAGTCTGGTTATATAAATGTGTACTGTGTTAGAAACACTATTCTAACTAAAGCTCTTAAGATTTTCTATATGATTCCTAACCTTATGCATTTCAAGTGCCCTTTCCAGCTTTACTCAGAAAACTAATATGAGGAACACGTGCTCAGGTTTTTTAGCAAGTAAAAATGAGTCTACACCAAAAAGTTACTAGAAATTAATGTGGGCTTGGAATATATTTTAAAGAACCCCCTTTGCTGAAAGCACTTAAGACATTTAATGTAACTGAAATGGGCTACCCTTAGGTAATAGGAGAAAGAATCCTGTCTTCTGAGAGGCCCTGTGGACAGTCCAGTCCAACTGGTTGGTGGGCAAGCCATTTAGTCTGAGAACTAACTTCTGGTAGAGAAGAGGCTCCAACCAAAGATTATTAACTTTCCTTGATTAATAAGCCAAAAAATGATTTTTTTTTTTTCCTAAATAGAAAAAGCCTTAGATGGAATTGGGTGGGATGGGAAGGAGTGTTAATTAAGTGTGAAATTCCTGATACTGGCTAAAATATATTTGCGATATTTAAAGTCCAGTCTACCTTGGTATTGAAATTAAGGTCTTAGGTTCATTTTCAGCTTTTACGAAAACCATCATCTTCTAATTTCTTTGTCTTATTTTTGTGCATAGGATCTCTACTTGAATGCTGGAGGAGTGACAGTATCTTACTTTGAGTGGCTGAAGAATCTAAATCATGTCAGCTATGGCCGTTTGACCTTCAAATATGAAAGGGATTCTAACTACCACTTGCTCAGTGAGTATCGATAATCTTGTTCGCCAAAACTCATCTTTTGAGCCAGCTGAAAGGCTGTAAAAAGGTCCACTTAAGAGAACTGATCCCTTTGGGAAAGAATTGAGTCTCAGAAAAGAAAATAATATTTTGTCTCATGAAACTTAGACCAAAAATGCACAATGTCTTTCTGGATATTAACTCTCCCATATATTATATCCAGAGTTTTATTCTGTGATGTAATATTCACAGAATATAATCTACATTTTTTTTTTCTTTTTTTGAGAGGGAGTCTCGCTCCGTCGCCGAGGCTGGAGTGCAGTGGCACGAACTCGGCTTACTGTAGCCTCCGCCTCCCAGGTTCAAGCAATTCTCCTGCCTCACCCTCCCAAGTAGCTGGGGCTACAGGCACTCACCGCCACGCCCGGCTAATTTTTGTATTTTTAATAGAGACGGGGTTTCACCATGTTGGCCAGGATAGCCTTGATCTCCTGACCTCATGATCCGCCTGCCTCAGCCTCCCAAAGTGCTGGGATTACAGGCGTGAGCCACTGTGCCCAGCCAATAATATTTTTTTAAGTGTGATTTTAAAACTCCACTGTCGATACTAATTTCTGTCTCTGGTTGCTCTTAGTAAAGGCCTATCTAGTGTCAAGAATTGTTTTTGAGACTCCTGATGAGAATACTTGTTTTTCTTTGACTAGAGTAAGCTCCACAGTTAAGAGTAGAATTTCTCATCTAGTTGAAATAAGACCAAGACCTCCTACTGAGCTTCTGTACTCAGCCCACTGTGAGAATCTGGGTGAAGTGTTCCATCTATTTCCTTTTCTTTTTCCCCCAGCGTTTTCTTTTTAATAGAGCCAAGGAAAAACCCTGGTAATGGGTGTTATGGAAACAGAGCAGTGACCTAAATTCACATTTATATAGGAAATTGGCAATGTGTTTTATTCCTTCCTGACTGAGTTTTAAATGATTAACCCTTTTATGTCATTAAAACTCTGTATAAGGCCAGGCGCAGTGGCTCACGCCTGTAATCCCAGCACTTTGGGAGGCCAAGGCAGATGAATCACGAGGTCAGGAGGTCGAGACCATCCTGGCTAACACGGTGAAACCCCGTCTCTACTAAAAATACAAAAAATTAGCTGGGCGTGGTGGCGCGCACCTGTAGTCCCAGCTACTCGCAAGGCTGAGGCAGGAGAATGGCGTGAACCCGGGAGGCAGAGTTTGCAGTGAGCTGAGATCACGCCTCTACACTCCAGCCTGGGTGACAGACCACGACTCTGTCTGTATAAGTTTTTGGGTTACAGTTATAGTTTGGGACTACTTTTGATTCTACTTTTTTTTTTTTTTTTCTGTTAGCAATATCTTGATCTCTTGTTATTTTTTTGTAGTGTCTGTTCAAGAGAGTTTAGAAAGAAAATTTGGAAAGCATGGTGGAACTATTCCCATTGTACCCACGGCAGAGTTCCAAGACAGGATATCGGTGAGTGTGGTGACCCCACAGTTGTACTTCACACATGCTCCCTGCTCTTTCCTTCAGACAGAGCTGGTTAGATGGATTTCATCTGCGGCATAGTCTTTGTAATTAGCTTGACAGTAAGTGCGTGACATGTGTGTTTTGTACCTTTCCTTTTCATTACATTCTAAAACTGGAGTAAGAATCCTACTGACTACTAACAAATATAAAATAAATAAATTTGGTATTTTTCACGCACGTGTTTTAACAGTGAAGGATTATTATGTATTTTAATTATTTTAAGCTTCAGAGAAATAGGAAGAATTGAAAAGCAAGCATTAGATTGAACTATATGGGAGTCCAAGAGTTTGAGACCAACCTGGGGAACATAGTGAGTCCCCATCTCTACAAAAATAAAGAAAGAAACAAGAGGCCAGGCATGGTGGCACACGCCTGTAATCCCAGCACTTTGGGAGGTCAAGGCGGGTGGATCACGAAGTCAAGTCATCGACACCATCCTGGCCAACATGGTGACCCCGTCTCTACTAAAAATACAAAAATTAGCCAGGCGTGGTGCTACACGCCTATAGTCCCAGCTACTTGGGAGGCTAAGGCAGGAGAATCACTTGAACCCGGGAGGTGGAGGTTGCAGTTAGCCGAGATTGCACCACTGCACTCTAGCCTGAGCAACAGAGAGATACTCCGTTCCCGCCGCCGCCACCCCCCTCCCCCCGCCAAAAAAAAGAAAGGAGGGATGGAGGGAGGGAAACTTCTTTACCAGTAAATGATGGAAGACAGGAAAAACAAAAGTCCATAACACATAAGCCTGGGGGAAAAATTTAACCTCATTGTTAAAGAAATACAAATTGAAAAAGAGTTTTTTTTTTTTAATGTATTAACAAAAACAATGGATCTTATGTTCTCCATATATGTGGTGAAACAGTTGTACCTTTATTCTAGTGACGGTGTAGATTGGTGCAGCTCTTTGGAAAATGTGAAGTTATTAAAGTGTTCCTGCCCTTTGGTGCTATGACAATCTCCCCTCTGGGAATTTATCCTAAGAAAATAATTCAAAAGAGGAGGAACCACTCCATGCACGATGATGTTATTGAAACTATGTGTAGGCCAGGTGCGGTGGCTCACGCCTATAATCCCAGCACTTTGGGAGGCCAAGGCAGGTGGCTCACCTGAGTTCAGGAGTTCAAGACCAGCCTGGCCAACATGGTGAAACTCCGTCTCTACTAAAAATACAAAAAATTAGCCAGGCATGGTGGCACGCACCTGTAGTCCCAGCTACTCGGGAGGCTGAGGCAGGAGAATCGCTTGAACCCAGGAGGCAGAGGTTGGAGTGAGCCAAGAAATGCACCGCTGCACTCCAGCCTGGGCAACAAGAGCGAAACTCCATCTCAAAAAAAAAAAAAAAAAGAAACGGTGTAAACAGTTTTTAAATTTGGTTTTATTTAAAGTTTAGGAGCAGGGAAATGGCTGACTTATATCTTATAATACATCTTAGGTAATATTCACTCATAGTTTAAGAATATATTACAATGGGTAAATTATATCTTCTTTTTTTTTGGTTTTTTTTTTTTTTTTTTTTTTTTTGAGACAGAGTCTCGATCTGTCACCCAGGCTGGAGTGCAGTGGTGCGATTTTGGCTCACTGCAACCTCTGCCTCCCAGGTTCAAGCAATTCTCCTGCCTTAGCCTCCTGAGTAGCTGGGATTACAGGCGCCCGCCACCACACCCAGCTAATTTTTTTGTATTTTTAGTACAGACGGGGTTTCACCTTGTTGGTCAGGCTGGTCTCAAACCCCTGACCTCGTGATCCACCCGCCTCGGCCTCCCAAAGTGCTGGGATTACAGGCGTGAGCCACCGCGCCCGGCCGTCAATATATCTCCTTATGAAATATTCAGTGATGGAAAACAGTTCTGAGACTATATTGCAACATGGGAAAAAGTTAAAGATTTTGTTGTAAAGAAAGAAAAAATGCTTTACCCATTCTAGGTACTAACCGTTCCCCTCAGTAAACTTCCTATTTCCTAGAGTGATGTCTTTGTTCTGGTCCTTTTATCTGGAATACACTGATCTCCTCCCTGCTTAAGTGTCACTGCAGTTCTGTGGCTCTCTCTGAAAGTCTCCTGTGTGCCACTGTTTCGTACATAACATCCATCCCAAGTGGCTAGCAGTGCATCGGAAGGACTTGCGCTGCTACTGTCCCTGCCAGAGGGCTGTTCACCCCTCCCTTTGGTCACCCCACTGCCCAGCATATGCCTTGTCAGTTAAAAAAATAAAAGTTTTCTCAAGCTCTCTCCCTCTAGTTTCCCCCTGCCCCTGTTTGGCACTATCAGGACCCACATCATGACCCTGCCATGTTTCCACTGTCCCTCATCCCCCCAGTGCCCTCACTTCCCTCCTTATCTAACTTAAATTCCGTGCTCCATCATTACAGTCACTCCCCAGTCTTGTTTCCTTTGTCATACTCCTTTGTTAACACCTAAGCCCTGATTAAATCCCAGCAGCCCTGATTAAATCCCTGATTAAATCCCGTGCCTCTACCCTGTAGGAGGCCCTGCTGGCAGTTCACACCCTGACCACTAACCTCAAGTAGGCGCTCAGAGCTGCCCAGCAGTCATACTGCTTTTCCGTGTTTCATTCATTCTCCCCGTCTCCTGAGTGATTACATCACATTTTCTCCTCTTCTCACTGCCCTGCATTCCAGCTCATGACCTGCTATCTGTTCACAGATAAAACTGATGCAGCCTGGGAGCTTCCGCATCTACCCAGCTCCTGGTACCTGTACCCAGTCCTGTGTCATCTCTCTTCGAATAGATCAGCTCTTTGTGCTTTCATTTCTTAGGTCCAGTTCTTGTTGTGGGCATTGGATGGTTTTTCCTCAGATACACTGCTCTAGCAAGTCTGCTCCTCTCTCCTACATCAGCAGTTTCCCTCTGAGTCATTCCCCTCAGCTTACCAAATGCTGTTTTAAAAAATGTATAAATCTTAATCCCACTTCCCCTTCCAGTATTGCCATTTGTTTCCTGTAGAGCAAACCTCCTTGGAAGAGTTGTATATACTCAGCCTCCAATTCTTCTTTACTTGAACCTACTCCACCAAGACTATTCTTGTCAAGACAGCCAGTGACACCAGCATTGCCAAATCCAGTAGCTATTTTTCAGTCCTCATCTTGCTTGACCTATCAGCAGTTCTTGTTACAACTGACACTCCCACCTTGAAACATTTTCTTCTCTTAGCTTCCAGGATACCACATTCTCCTGGTTTTCTCCCTACCTCACTAAACATTTCTTCTCAATTGCCTCTTGCTGGTATCTCTTCAACTCTTCACTCTCCTAACATTGGAAGGCCTGCGTCCCTAAACCACTTCTCTATCTAGATTGAAAACTTCAATGATCCACTTAGCCTTGTGGTTTGAAGTCCATGTATATACACTCTCTTCCCACTACAATATAAAGTCTGTGAGAACAGAATTTTGATTTTATTCTCTACTATGTCCCCTAGTACCTGGAAGAGTATGTACTCAGTAAGTGTCCAAACTATATCAGTGACCCATTTTAAGTTTTTATCGGGCATATGTGTTTTGTAGCTCTGTATGTCACCTTAAGAGTGGTAGTGAGTTAATTGTCCTTAATTTTTTAGAAAGCATTCCAAGAAACAAATTAGGAAAGAGAGAACTGACTTGATGGTGGAGGCCCTGAGTCATATCCCAGCTCTGAAAATAGCTATCTGTAACCTTGGCCATCTTCTCTGGTCCTTAGTTTCCTCATCAGTAAAATTAAAACGCTGCTGAGATCTACACAGCTTTAAAAGTTGCTGGCACTACTGAATAGATACACAGAATTCTACCCCAAAGCCGCTATGGGGTTTAATCAGATTCCTTTCTGTGTTCTGTGTGGTGTCCCTGTTCTCTGGGGAGCTGAGGCGAACGCACCGTGGCATGAACAGTGTAACACATTGCTCAGTGCATCTGCGTCTCCATGAGTGGAGGGTGCTCATCTCACTCCATGCCCTCATGTCTCTAGGTCCAAAAACTGTCTTCATTGTTGTACTATAATCTTATTTCATGAGTATTTGTTTGCTGTCAAATATAATAAAAATAAATTGTGATCAACAAGCAACTGCTTCAGTAAGTATCAAGATACTGTATCTTTGATACTGTGCAGAAATGACATATCTTAGCTAAAAGACAAAAAATTCTGTCTGGTTGTATATTGACTTGAGAATCCTTTGTCATCTTATACAGGGACACAAAGCAGGTCTTTGTGGTTTTGTTAAACTTGTGTTCTTTTCCCTAATAGGGTGCATCTGAGAAAGACATCGTGCACTCTGGCTTGGCATACACAATGGAGCGTTCTGCCAGGGTATGTGTGCAGATGCTGTTTGCCTTCCAGCTAGTCACATGAAGTGCAACTCAACCATGCTATCTCAGCCGCCAGACTGTATGTGCTGATAGAAAACATCAATCTGTTCAATGGTCCTCATTTGTGTGTAGCAAAACACATGTTTTTTCAGTCTCAGATGATAAGCAATTTTTTAGAGTCTTCAAATATGTTTTTGAGGCTTTGGAAAGAAATAATAAGGCTGATTTAGGAGGTAATGATGTTGGCAGCTAGCCCAGTATGGAGTAGTTAGCCAAACTGGATTGTAGCTCCATGTGCCACTATGTTATAGCTACGGGAGTCTACCTTACTATAGAATTTGGTATAAGCAAAACTTATTTTGACTGCTTGATCCCTACTTTAAGGCCTCAACCACAGTTTGAGTCCAGTTTTCCTAATTTCTTCTTGGGTTCAGATTCTATCTGCTTGGATTTATGATGAAATAGCATAAGCAGATATTGGTGAAGAAGGTGGTGCTTCTTAGGGCTGTTGTTTTTCTTGTTAATTTTTGATCGAGATAGGGTGTATGTGGTATAAATTCATCCTTTCAAAGTATTAAATTCGGCATCCTTTATTATATATTTGAGCCATCACCACTTTATAATTCTAGAACATTTTCATCACTCCCTTTTTTTTTTTTTTTTTTTTTTTTTTGAGACGGAGTTTTGCCCTGTTGCCCAGGCTAGAGTGCAGTGGCGCACTTTCAGCTCACTGTAACCTCCACCTCCCAAGTTCAAGCAATTCTTGTCCCTTAGCCTCCCGAGTAGCTGGGATTACAGGCATGAGCCACCATGCCCAACTAATTTTTGATTTTGTTTTCATTTTGTTTAGTTTTTTGAGATGGAGTTTCGCTCTGTCACCCAGCTGGAGTGCAATGGTGCAATCTCTGCTCACTGCAACCACCGCCTCCTGGCTTCAAGCAATTCTCCTTCCTCAGTCTCCCGAGTAGCCGGGATTACAGGCGCCCACCCCCACACCCGGTTAATTTTTTGTATTTTTAATAGAGATGGGGTTTCACCATATTGGTCAGGCTGGTCTCGAACTCCTGACCTCAAGTGATCCACCTGCCTCAGCCTCCCAAAGTGCTGGGATTACAGGTGTGAGCAACCGCACCCCTGCCTAATTTTTGTATTTTTAGTAGAGACAGGGTTTTACCATGTTGGCAAGTCCGGTCTTGAACTCCTGAGCTCAAGTGATCTGCCTACGTCGGCCTCCCAAAGTGCTGGGATTACAGGCGTGAGCCACCGCACCCAGCCACCCCATTGTTAAGTCCAGAGAATTAGGCCCTCCTGCCTAGAGGTTCTGCTGCTAGAGTAGTTTGTCTTTGGCTGCCCAAGTCCTGCCTTGAAACAATGAGAGGGTAACTTGGACCAGGCCTGTCTGGGCCTTGTGTGTTTATGGCCTGGCCACTTGAGTCAGGATCATCTTCACTGCATTTTCTCTTTCATTTCAGCAAATTATGCGCACAGCCATGAAGTATAACCTGGGATTGGACCTGAGAACAGCTGCCTATGTTAATGCCATTGAGAAAGTCTTCAAAGTGTACAATGAAGCTGGTGTGACCTTCACATAGATGGATCATGGCTGACTTCCTCACTATCCTCTTCACATGTAACTTCTGCAGACCTATCACAAGTTTACATGTAACCACAGAAATCCCTTTCTCTCCTGACTCATTAATAATGGATACCATTCTCAACAAGTCAATCCAAGTCAGCCCGTTAAGGAGAAAGAAATTAAGGTTAGCGGATCATGTACAAGCTGAGTGTGAAAGTAGAAATCACCTACACCAGAGAGCCATTTTGGTATTTTGCCTTTAAATAAAAAGCCTCCTTTATCTGGCTGTGCAGCCTTGCTCTGTGGCTTTTCCCAACACAATCAGTGCTAGTGCTGGGGAGGAACAGTCAAGAGCAGTCAGTTGCTTGCTTATTTTTTCTGGATGAGTCTGGGACACACTGTAACTTTAACACATTTAAGAAGTAGGTGTGTGGCCTTTTCAGAAGGTGGCATGGTCCTCAAGTGAGTTCTTAGTATTTTATATCAGCAAAATAATTCAATTTTGCAGGTTGCAAACAAATATAAAACCTGTTTCTGTTTATGAATATTATTCTTTTAGAATAGAATAAGTACATGCTGCTGTAATAAAATTGCCTTTAATCACTTAACAAGCCTAACCTTGACTCAAACAGTGAATGCCTATAGAAATAATAAATGAAAAAAACTAGTATTTTTATATCATAAAACAATGTCATTTATAGCTTATCATTCATGTATTGTCCAGCAGACATTAAAAGCCCTGTGGATAATTAAGTTATCTTCATACCTGCAAAATGGTGGAGGCTATTTTCATTAAAACTGTCAGAATTTGCTTACTATAATTATGATACAGTCCAAAGAATGCAGTCACTTTTTATCATGTTAACTAATTGTTCTCTTTTGAAGATCTATGGTTGACTAATTAAACAATAATTCAAGTAGAGTGTCCCAGAAAAAAACCACTTGGGCTCCCTGTTTGGAGTCTGGCTGGCTCTGAGCATTGCCAATGGCCCCTACTCACCTGACTTTGTATCCTCTCCTTTTAGAGGCTTTGCATTCTGCACCCAGCTTCACTAACAGTGGGCTGAAAACATCCTTGGGTTGAGTGTTTCATTTGGGAGTTATTTGGCCAGGGCCTTTTGAACAGTAGTGTCCCCATGAAGTGCTAGATAATATATGTGTAAGAGTCAGCTTTTTTTTTTTTTTTAACTCTAACACCCTTCAGAAATTTCTAACTACTTTGTAACTGCATGGCTTAACCTGGTGATAAAAGCAGTTATTAAAAGTCTACGTTTTCCAAAACTTACGTTTCTTTTCTGTGTTTTTACATGTGGTAGTTTCTCTTTTCATAAGTTATAATACTGCAATTGGATTTCTGAAATGTTTATAGCGACCACCTGTATAACATTTCCTTCCACTTTATTGTGAGCTGCCCAGATTTTATTCTTGAATTGTTTTTTTTTTTTTTGTTCGGTGCTTTACACGTTCAGAGAAACTTCCCGAGTAACGAACTATAGAAATGATCCCTGAAAGCATAGTCTTTATTCTCGAATTATTTTGTATTTTATTAAATAATATGAACAGCTGTTCTTGAGAAAGAGGCTCTAATGTTGAAAGCTGATAGTGAAGTAACTTTTAGTGCCGTTTTTCACTAAAGGGGATTTAATGTGGAATAATTTAGCCACAGAATGTAACAACTATTGAAGAGAGAATACTAACTGTAATCAGAACTGGATTCTAGACTTGATTCCACCAGTTACTTAACTGCCAGTGTGAAGCCTGGCTTTCATTTGGTCTTTGTCCGTATGTCACAGTTCTGCCTCTGCATGCTCCTGGCATAGGGTCAGTCAGATAAACAGGCCCCCAGTATATGGGCATAGTGAGCCCTTCCCCAGCATGGTGGTGTCTATCTGCACTCTAGGTGGGCTACTAAAATGTGTAAGGGGGAAAGTGATACAAAAACCAGTTCCAGAATGTTAGAATAATGGTGGGGCAGCAGATTTAAGTCATGTGAATGTGGGATAAGTCTTAGTGGTGGCCTTTGACTATATATTGGAAATACTGATTTTTTTTTGGTTGGGGGGTTGGTTTTTGTTTTTTGAGACAGTGTCTTGCTCTGTCACCCAGGCTGGAGTGCGGTGGTGCAATCACGGCTCACTGCATCCTCTACCTCCTGGGATCAAGCAGTTACTCTACCTCAGCCTCCTGAGTAGCTAGGACCACATGTATGGGTACGACACCTGGCTAATTGTTTTTATTTTTTTGTAGACACGAGGTCTCCCTATGTTGCCCAGGCTGGTCTCACACTCCTGGACTCAAGTGATCCTTCCACCTTGGCCTCCCAAAGTACTAGGATTACAGGCATGAGCCACCATGCCTGGCCAATGGTAATTTTTTAAAGATTAATGTTGAGGAGTATTGTTGATAGTAATATTAGAAAACTAAATTGCCTGTGCTAGCTATATAAAGATGAGAGCACTAGTGTCAGTAATTTTGGCTCCTGAAGGTTTTAGTTTTTAAAAATCTGGTCAATTACTCTTTTTACCTTGACAGAAATTTTCTTTTTTTTTTTTTTTTTTTTTTTTTTTTGAGACGGAGTCTCGCTCTGTCCCCAAGGCTGGAGTGCAGTAGCGTGATCTCGGCTCACTGTAACCCCCCGCCCCCTGGGTTCAAGCAATTCTGCTGCCTTAGCCTTCCTAGCAGCTGGGACTACAGATGCGTGCCAGCACGCCCAGCTAATTTTCTCGTATTTTGATTAGAGATGGAGTTTCACCATATTGGCCAGGCTGGTCTCAAACTCCTGACCTCATGATCCACCCACCTTGGCCTCCCAAAGTGCTGGGATTATAGGGGTGAGCCACTGTGCCTGACCTATTTTCAATTATTTTTAAAACTCACACACGATACTCAAGTTACTTGCTTCTGAAATAGCCATAGATGACTTATATAGCACCTGAAGAAGACTTAACTGGTGCTTTATGAGCCTCTACACCAGTGTATTCTAATATCCCTGATTAAGGAGATGAGAAGTAAAGGCATGAATTTTCAGTGCTTTTGGCACCCTAACTAGTAGGATTGGTCATTCCTTTTTTCTATATTTTTTCTCTTTTCCTTTTTTTTTTTTTTTTTACTCCATGACTAGCCAAAGAGCTGATTTACTTTTTTAAAAACGCTTGGCATGGCTGAGCACGGAGGCTCACGCCTGTAATCTCAGCACTTTGGGACGCCCAGGCAGGCGGATCACAAGGTCAGGAGATGGAGACCATCCTGGCTAACATGGTGAAATTCCATCTCTACTAAAAATACAAAAAAATTACCCGGGCGTGGTGGCGGGCGCCTGTAGTCCCAGCTACTTGGGAGGCTGAGGCAGGAGAATGGCGTGAACCCAGGAGGCGGAGCTTGCAGTGAGCCGAGATTGCGCCACTGCACTCCAGCCTGGGCCACAGAGTGAGACTGTCTCAAAAAAAAAGAAAAGCCTGGCATGTTAACTCACAAGCAAATAAATTCCATATTCACTAAACATCCCTGACAGGCTTTCCCAGCCCTGCTGTTTGTTAAGGTAGTCAAAGCATGGCACATGAAGAAAACTACATCTATGGATATTGTACAAAATATTGTTTTTATGATTTTTTAATATTTTTAACAGACTTTTATTGACTTGTGTTTGTATTTTTATCAAACATACTTCATTTATTTATTTATTTTGAGACGAAATCTCACTCTATCACCCAGGCTGGAGTGCAGTGGTGTGATCTTGGCTTACCGCAACCTCCGCCTTCCAGGTTCAAGCGATTCTCCTGCTTCAGCCTCCGGAGTAGCTGGGATTACAGGCATGCGCCACCATGCCCAGCAAATTTTCGTATTATTAGTAGAGACGGGGTTTCACCATGTTGGCCAGGCTGGTCTCGAACTCCTAACTTCGGGTGATCCACCTGCTTCAGCCTCCCAAAGTGTTGGTATTATAGGCATGAGCCACCACGTCCAGCCTCAAACATACTTCAGTTTTTCACCTCAGCACTGTTGACATTTTAGGCTATGTAATTCTCTGCCTTGTAGGATGTTTAGTAATATCCCTGGCCTCTACACATTAGATGTCAGGAAGACCCCCTCAGTTATAACAATGACAAATATATTCAGATTGCCAAATGTCCCCTGTGGAACAAATTCATCCCTTGTTATGAACCGTGATCCAGAGAGCCAAATAGTGATACAAGGTTTATTGTTCACAATAGCTCGTCCCCTCCAATCCAGACACCACCTGCCTCACCATTTTCCACTGCCCCAAGGCAACCACTTTCAGCAGTCTTAAATGTTTCATTTTTATTCTATTTAAAGCCTTTGCTCATTTTTAAATTGGGTTTTGTCCGCATTATTGAGTGGTAAGGGTGCTTTACATATTCCACAGCCAGTTGTGGTAGTATAGGCCTATGGTCCCAGCTACTCAGAAGGCTGAGGCAGGAGGATCACCTGAGCCCAGAAGTTCAACACTAGTCTAGGCAACATAGCAAGACCCTATCTCTAAATGAATTTTTGAAATATATATTCTAGATAATTGACCTTTATCATGCATATACTTTGCAAATATTTCCTCTCAATCTGTTATCTTTGTGCTTTCTTGATAGTCTCCTTTTTAATCTTGAGAAAACATAATTAATTTTTCCTCTGGTTGGTGTGCTTTAGGGTGTATGTAAGAAACCATTGCCTAATCTATAGTCATGCAGATAGATATATCCCTATGGTTTTTTTTTGTTGTTGTTTTTTGTTTTTTTTTTTTTTGAGACGGTCTCGCTCTGTCCTCCAGGCTGGAGTGCAGTGGTGTGATCTGACGGCTCATGGCTAAGTGCAGCCTCTACCTCCTAGGCTCAAGCAATCCTCCCCCTTCAGCCTCCCAAGTAGCTGGGACTATAGGCCCATACCACCACCAAGCACAGCTAATTTCTGTATTTTTGGAGAGACAAGGTCTTGCCATGTTGCCCAGGCCAGTCTTGAACTCCCAGGCTCAAGCAGTCCGCCCACCTTGGCCTCCCAAAGTGCTAGGATTACAGGTGTGAGCCACTGTGCCCTGGCCTAGAAAGATTTTTTTAAGAAATAGTGACCAGGCCAGGTGCAGTGGCTAACATGGTGAAACCCCATCTTTACTAAAAATACCAAAAATTAGCAGGTGGGCAAGGTGGTGGGCGCCTGTAGTCCCAGCTACTGGGGAGGCTGAAGCAGGAGAATGGTGTGAACCCAGGAGGCGGAGCTTGCAGTGAGCCGAGATCCCGCCACTGCACTCCAGCCTGGGCAACAGAGCGAGACTCCGTCTCTAAATAAATAAATAAATAAATAAATAAATAATAAAAATAGTGACCAAAAATATCCCACATTTGATGGGAGTTGTGAATCTACACATTCAAGATGCTCAACAAATTCAAAGCAGGATAAACTAAAAGAGATCCACACTGAGGCACATTATTATCAAATTGTAGAAAGTTAAAGACAGGAAAGCAGCAAGAGGTAAGTGATTCATCCTGTACAAGGGATCTTCAGTAAGATTAACAGTTGCTTATCAGAAATCACGGAGTACAGAAGGCAGTAGGACACTTCTTCCCCTCTCTCCCACTGACAGATGATATATTAAAAGTTCTGACAGCAAAAAGTCAACCAAGAATCCTATATCTTTCAAAAAAAAAAATAACCTCTAAAAATGAAGGAAACTAAGACAGTCCCAGAAAAGTCAAGGGAGTTTATCATTAGTAAACTTGTGTTATAAAGAATGCTAAAGTCTCCCCCATGTTACTCTCAGGGAAGAAAAAAAAAAGAATGCAAAAGTGGAGCTGGGGCCAGGCATGGTGGCTCACGCCTGTAATCTCAGCACTTTGGGAGGCCAAGGCAGGTGGATGGAGTTTGAGAGCAGCCTGGCCAATATGGTGAAACCCCATTTCTACTAAAAATACAAAAAAATTACCTAGGCATGGTGGCGTGCACCTGTAGTCCCAGCTGACTGAGGCTGAGGCACAAGAATCGCTTGAGTCCGGGAGGTGGAAGTTGCAGTGAGCTGAGATGGTGCCACTGCACTCCAGCCTGGACAACAGAGCAAGACTCCATCTCAAAAAAAAAAGGGGGGGTTGGGGGAGCTCAGCATGGGTTCACGCTTGTAATTTCAGCACTTTGGGAGGCTGAAGTGGGATCACCTGAGGCCAGGAGTCCACAAGCAGCCTGGGTGACGTAAGGAGACCCCATCTATACAAAATAAAAATAATTAGCCAGACAGGGTAGCTCAGGCCTGTGGTCCTAGCTATTCAGGAGGCTGAGGCGGGATGATTGCTTGCAGCCAGCAGTTTAAGACTAGCCTGGACAACATAGACCCCATCTCTACAAAATATAAATTTAAAAAATTAACTGGCCATGGTGGTATGCATCTGTAGTTCCAACTACTCATGATGCTCACTTGAGACCAGAAGTTGGAGGTTACAGTGAGCTCTGATCACACCACTGCACTCCAGCCTGGTTGACAGAGCAAGAACCTGTCACTAAACAAAAATAATAAATGAATAAAAATATAAGAGTTCTTGGCCAGGCACAGTGGCTCATGCCTGTAATACCAGCACTTTGGGAGGCTGATGTGGGTAGATCACCTGAGGTCAGGAGTTTGAGGCCAGCCTGGCCAATATGGTGAAACCCTATCTCTACTAAAAATACAAAAATTAGCCATGTGTGATGGCACGTGCCTGTAATCCCAGCTACATGGAAGGCTGAGGCAGGAGAATCACTTGAATGTGGGAGGCAGAGGTTGCAGTGAGTGGAGATTGCACCACTGCACTCCAGCCTGGGCAACAGAGCAAGACTCGGGCTCAAAAAAAAAAGCTAAAGTGAGTCCTTCAGGCTAAAATGAAAGGATACAAGATAGTAACTCAAAGCTATATGAAGAAATAAAGAGCACTGGTAAATGCAACTATGTCGCTAAATATAAAAGCTAGTATTACTGTATTTTGGGTATGCTATTCCTCTTTGTGATTTAAAAAATGCATAAAGGCCGGGCGCGGTGGCTCAAGTCTGTAATCCCAGCACTTTGGGAGGCCGAGGCAGGTGGATCATGATGTCAGGAGATTGAGACCATCCTGGTTAACATGGTGAAACCCTGTCTCTACTAAAAATACAAAAAATTAGCTGGGCATGGTAGCGGGTGCCTGTAATCCCAGCTACTCAGGAGGCTGAGGCAGGAGAATGGCATGAACCCAGGAGGCGGAACTTGCAGTGAGCCGAGATTGCGCCACTGCACTCCAGCCTGGGCGACAGAGCGAGACTCCTTCTCAAAAAAAAAAAAATGCATAAAATAATATGGATCTATGTTAATAGGCACTAATTGTTTAAAGACATAATTTGTTAACTATAGGTAGGGGACAGAGAAAGGAGCAGAGTTAATGTATGCTATTGAAGCTGAGTTGCTATCAGTCTGAACTAGACTTTGAACTCAGCATGTTAAATGAAATCTTCATAGTAGCCACTAAAAAAATAACTTTTAAAATATACAGAAAAGAATTTAAGAAAGGATCAAAATATTACAGGATAAATCATTAACCAAACACAAAAGAAGGTACTGAGGAGCAAAACACTTCATGTAGAAACTAAACAGCATGATGACGTAAGTAAGTTCTTTGGTGTATAGGTTTTTCTGTTTTTCTTTTTTGGGGTTTGTCTGAGACAGAGTCTTGCTCTGTCACTCAGGCTGGAGTGCAGTGTTTCATTCTCAGCTCACTGCAGCCTTTGCCTCCCAAGTTCAAGTGATACTCAGCCTCCTGAGTAGCTGGGATTGCAGGCGCCCACCACCACAGCCAGGTAATTTTTTGTATTTTTAGTAGAGACAGGGTTTCACTACATTGGCCAGGCTACTCTCGAGCTCCTGGCCTCAAGTGGCCCACCTGCCTCGGCCTCCCAAAGTGCCAGGCACAGGCATGAGCCACTGCACCCGGCCTGTTTGGGGTTTTTTTGAGACGGGGTCTAGCTCTGTTGCCCAGGCTGGAGTGCAGTGGCACAATCACGGCTCACTACAACCTTGACCTCCGCAGGCTCAGCTGATCCTCCCACCTCAGCCTCCTGAGTAGCTGGAACCACAGGTGTGCACCACCATGCCCAGCTTATTTTTCTATTTTTTGTAGAGACAGGAGTCTTGCTATGTTGCCCAGACTGGTCTCAAACGCCTGGGCTCAAGCAATCTGCCCACCTCAGCATCCCAAAGTGATAGGATTACAGGCCTGAGTCCAACCATAAGTAAGTTTTTGTTTTTTGTTTTTGAGTCAATCTCTCTGTCCCCCAGGCTGAAGAGCAGTGGTGCGATCATGGCTCACTGCAGCCTCACCTCCAGGCGGGAGCCACCATGCCGGTCAATTAACTTTTTTGTTTCAGTAATCACTTTAAATGTAAATAATCTGACCAATGGAAAGATCGGCAGAATGGATTTTTTTTAAATGATGTAATACACAATCCAAATATGCAACTTACAAAATACTCACTGTAGACCCAAGACACAAATTGTTTCAAAATGAAAAGACGGAAAGAGATAATCCATGCAAATAGTAACCAAAAGAGAGCTGGGGTGGCTATACTAATACCAGACAAAATAGATTTTAAGCCAAAAAATGTTACAGAAAGACATCGTATGTTGGTAAGAGAGTCAAATCACAAGAAGATGTAACAATTATAAATACGTATGAACTGAAAAAGAAAAAAAAAGGGCTCTAAAATGCACAGTCTAACAAAATTGAAGGAAGAAATAGTTTTACAATAACAGAGACTTCAACACAGGCTGGAGTGCAGTGACTCTATCACAGCTCACTGCGACCTCTGCCTCCCAGACTCAAGCGATTCTCCCACCTCAGCCTCCCCAGTAGCTGGAACTATAGGCACACGCCACCACACCCGGCCAATCTGTGTATTTTTTGTGGAGATGGGGTTTCATCATGTTGCCCAGGCTGGTCTCAAATGCCCAAGCTCAAGCAATTCGCCCACCTCAGCCTCCCAAAGTGCTGGGATTACAGGCCTGACCTACTGTGTCCAGTCAATACCCCACCTTCAATAGTAAATAGAACATCTAGACAAAATCAGTAAGGAACTAGAGGAATTGAACAACACACTAAACCAAATAGACCTAACAGACATATGGAAAGATATCCATCTAACAAGAGCAGAATATATATTCCTCTCAAGTGCACATGGAACATTCCCCATGATAAATCATATGTTAGGCCACAAAACAATTCTCAATAAATTTTAAAAGGTCAAAATTATACAAAGGGCCAGGTGTGGTGGCTCACAGCTGTAATCCCAGCACTTTGTGAGGCTGAGACAGGCGGATCACTTGAGCCCAGGAGTTCAAGACCAGCCTGGGCAACATGGTGAAACCCTGTCTCTACCAAAATAAAAAATAAAAAAATTAGCCGGCTGTAGTGGTGGTGAACGCCTGTAGCCCCAGCTACTCAGGAGGCTCAGGCAGGAGGATGGCTTGAGCCTGGAAGGCAGAGGCTGCAGTGACCTGAGATCATACCACTACACTCCAGCCTGCAGGACAGAGCGGGACTTGTCTTAAAAAAAAAAAAAAAAAAAAAAAACAGGCCAGGCTTGGTGGCTCATGCCTGTAATCCCAGCACTTTGGGAGGCCAAGGTGGGTGGATGACCTGTGGTCAGGGGTTCGAAACCAGCCTGGCCAGCATGGCAAAACCCCAACTCTAATAAAAAATACAAAAAATTAGCTGGGAGTGGAGGCAGGCACCTGTAATCCCAGCTACTTGGAAGGTTGAGCTAGGAGAATTGCTTGAATCTGGGAGGCAGAGGTTGCAATGAGCCGAGATCACACCACTGCACTCCACCTTGAGCAACAGACTGAGACTCTGTCTCAAAAAAAAAAAAATTATGCAAAGTGTCTTTTCCAACAAAAGTGTAATGAAGCTAGAAGTCAATAACAGGAAAACCTGGAGAATTTGCAAGTAAGTGAAAGTTAAACAACATTCTTAACCAGTGGCTCAAAGAAGAAATGACTAGAGAAATTGAAATACTTTCAGATGAATTAAAATAAAATGCAAGATACCAAAATTTATGAGATGGTGTGACAGGGGTACTCAGTGAAACTTATAGCTGGAAATACTTACATCAGACGGTCACGGTGGCTCATGCCTGTAATCCCAGCACTTTGGGAGGCCGAGGCGGGTGGATCGCGACCATCCTGGCTAGCACAGTGAAATCCCATCTCTACTAAAAATACAAAAAAAAAAAATTGGCCAGGTGCAGTGGCGGGCGCCTGTAGTCCCAGTTACTCCGGAGGCTGAGGCAGGAGAATGGCGTGAACCCAGGAGGCAGAGCTGGCAGTGAGCCGAGATCATGCCATTGCACTCCAGCCTGGGCGACAGAGCGAGACTCCATCTCAAAAAATAATAATAATAATAAATACTTTCATTAAAAAAGGACAATCTCATGCTTGCTTCATCAGCACATACACTAAAATTGGAACAATACAGAGATTAGCCTGGCCCCTGTGCAAGGATGACATGCAAATTCGTGAAGTGTTTCATATTTATTTTATTAAAAAAAAAAAAAAAGACCGGGCACGGTGGTTTACACCTATAATCCTGACACTTTGGGAGGCCGAGGTGGGTGGGTCATGAGTTCAGGAGATCGAGACCATCCTGGCCAATATGGTGAAACCCCGTCTCTACTAAAATACAAAAAATTAGCTGGGCATGGTGGTGCGCACCTGTATTCCCAGCTACTCAGGAGGCTGAGGCAAGGGAATCACTTGAACCCGGGGGACAGAGGTTGCAGTGAGCCAAGATCGCACACTGTACTCAAACCTAGTGACAGAGCAAGACTCCATCTCAAAAAAAAAAAAAAAAAGAAAAGATAAAAGGAACGATTTCAAATTAACAACCTAACTTTACACCTAAGGGGTATTTAACCTTTTGGTTTCCCTGGCCACATTGGAAGAATAATTGTCTTGGGCTAAGGGAGGAGACCACCCCTCATATTGTCTTATGCCCAGTTTCTGCCTCCAAAGAAAGAAAGAGAAAAAACTAAAAGGCAGAAATGAAATCCACAAGCAGACAGCCCAGCGCCACACCCTGGGCCTGGTAGTTAAAGATCGACCCCTGACCTAATCGGTTATGTTATCTATAGATTACAGACATTGTATAGAAAAGCACTGTGAAAATCCCTGTCCTGTTTTGTTCTTAATTGCCAGGGCATGCAGCCCCCAGTCACACACCTGCTTCTTGCTCAATCGATCACGACCCTCTCATGCGCACCCCCTTAGAGATGTGAGCCCTTAAAAGGGACAGGAATTGCTCACTTAAGGAGCTTCGCTCTTGAGACAGGAGTCTTGCTGATGCCCCCAGCCGAATAAACCCCTTCCTTCTTTAACTCAGTGTCTGAGTAGTTTTGTCTGCAGCTCGTCCTGCTACGGGGCCACACATAAAATGCACTAACCCTAACAATAGGTGATGAACTAAAAAAAAAAAAAAAAAAAAACCTCAAGAAAATCTCATACTGTTTTCTGTTATTTGTAAAGTTTATGAATTTGTGTTGGGCTGCATTCAAAGTTATCCTGGGCTGCATGTTGGACAAGCTTGACCTAAGGTGTAAAAGAAGAGCTAACTAAACCTACAGCCAGCTGAAGGAAGGAAATACTAGAGATTAAAGCAGAATGAAATAGAGAATAGAGGAAAAATAATTGTCAAAACAAAAAGTTGGTTCATGGGAAAAAAAAACAAATTTGATGAACCTTTAGTTAGACTGACTCAGAAAAAAAAAGAGAATAGTAAATAACTAAAATCAGAAAGAAAATGGTGACATTATTACTGATCTTACAGAAATTTTAAAGATTTTTAAGACAATACTATGAAAAATTATATTCCAAAAATTAGACATCTAGATAAAATGTAGATTCCTAGAAACACACAAATTACCAAATATGACTTAAGAAGAAATAGAAAATCTCAATAGACCTATAACAAGAAAAGAGAATACATACACACACATATACCCATACATAAACCTACTGGCCAGGCATGGTGGCTCACACCTGTAATCCCAACACTTTGGGATGTTAATGCAGGCAGGTTGCTTGAGCCCAAGAGTTCAAGACCAGCCTGGGCAACATGGCAAAACCCCATCTCTACAAAAAGTACAAAAACTAGCAAGGTGTGGTGGCTCACACCTGTAGTCCCAGCTACTCAGAAGGCTGAGGTGGGAAGATCACTTAAGCCAGGAGGTGGAGGTTATAGTGAGCCAAAGATTGCACCACTGTACTCCAGCCTGGGTGACAGAGCCAAAAAGCAAACAAACAAATAAACCTACTAGAGCTAATTTTAATTCAGCAAAATTGCAGGGTACAAAATCAACACACAAAAATTAGTTATGGAAATATACATGTTAAGATGGCCAACTAGATGCAGCCAGGTGCAACAGCTGCCACCGAGGGACTGATTTGACTGGTGCACTACTAATGGATCTTCAGAGGGAAGGCACTGAGAGTAGATGGAGGGAAGACACAGAAGCTAGGCTAAAGGGGTAGTAAGCTGGGAGGCCTGCATGGGGCTACTGCACCCTGGAACTCATTCCTGGCCCCCAATGACTGGGGGAAAGGGTGAGTTGAACTTGCAAGAAGCAATGCTTCTTATGTCCAGCCTCTGGAATCCTGGCAGGAGATCCTTTGAGCATCATGGACAGTAGAGTTGCAAGGGAGAGAAGCTTGGAGAAGCAGCCAGGGCAGCAGCCAGCTGATGAACCCAGAGGGTTTGGTGTGAGAGCAGCTGTAGTGGAGCACAGCCAAGGACAGCCACACCCCTAGACTCAACTTGCTCCCATAGGAGACTTTCACCCTAAGGGAACCACTGGGCCTGAACTTCGCAATGCAGTCTTACTCATCAGGCAGGGCTGGTCCTACCTGAGCACTCCTTGGTTCGCTGGCCTCTCTGAGGGTCCAGCCTGGCCATGCCTGATTGCAGGGAAGCCTTGAGCACCCTAGGGGCCCACATCATAGCTCCAGTGCTGGTGGACCATGCCTGAAATGCGAAGAGCTCCCCCGGGGCAGCTCCCAGGGCCACACACCAGTGCACACACTCCTTCTACACTGCATCTTCCCCAAGGCCCACGGTAACACCGCACATGGCTTTGCCAACATGTGTGTGCATGGGCAGCTTCTGCTTATCTTGTCCTGCCAGCCTGCATGTATGTGTACACCCTGCCCTGCAAGTACTGCAGCAGGAGTGCAGTCTGCTCCACTCTCCCTTCTGACCACCACTGTAGTCAGAGCCTTGGTGGGCACAGAGCCAGCCAGCCCCAACCCCTCCCCTGCCAGTGCCCCACCCATTTGCCAGCACTGCTCCAAGTGAAACTAGGCACAGAGAACAGCAGACTCTTCCCTACCCTGAGCGCTCTCCAGCACCCTGCTGCCATGTCAACACCACTACTGGTGCAACCACATGCACAGACACCAGAAGGGGCCCCCACCCTGCCAGCTGTGTTCCCTTTGCTGCTGTGGTAAATGCTGCCACAGAGGCAGGCATGCCAGCACCCACTAGCACCCTACTGCAGCCATGCTGCTGCTGCCACTGCCGCTGGCACATGCAAATGGGGATGGATTCCACTGTCTCTGCACTACTAAAAGCTTTGGCTGACATCACCCGTTAGAGTGTAGTGACCAGCAGTCTGAGAGCATCTTGGCTCACCCAGTGCAGTGGATTCTTATCCTTGAGGAGACAGAACAAAGTTGGGGCTCGATACAAGTCCTCCAGGGTTACAGCACACAGTCCAGGAGTTGGGAGCTCAGTGTTGGTCCTCTAAACTCTTCCAGAAATGAAGCCAGTTGACTGAATCCACCTTATACCACAGTGAAACCCTCAAGGTCGTCAAATAGGATAAAAGGAAAAAAACCCATCCAAAGGTCAGCAGCTTCAAAGATTGAAGGAAAATAACCCTGCAAAGATAAAAAAGAACCAGTGCAAGAACTCTCACAACTCAAAAAACCAGAGTGCCTTCTTTCCTCCAAACGGCTGCACCACCTCTCCAGCAAGGGGTTTGAACCAGGCTGAGATGGCTGAAATGACAGAAATAGAATTCAGAATATGGATTGGGATGAAGATCTTCGATATGCAGGAGTATGTTGAAAGCCAATCTAAGGAAGCTAAGAATCAGGATAAAACAATGCAAGAGCCAACAGAAAAAATAGCCAGTACAAAAAAGGATGTAGCCAACTTGATAGAGCTAAAAAACACACTACAAGAATTACATTAATAGCAGAATAGACCAAGTGGAAGAAAGTATCTCAGGGGCTGAAGACTGGCTTTCTGAAAGAAGACACGCAGACAAGAATGAAGAAAAAAAAATTAAAAGGAAGAAACAAAACCTCTGAGAAATGTGGGATTATGTAAAGAGACCAGATCTACGACTCACTGGTGTCCCTGAAAGAGATAGAGAGAGTATAAGCAACTTGGGAAGTGTATTCCAGGATATCATTTATGAGAACTTCCCCGACCTAGCTAGAGAGACCGACATTCAAATTCAGGAAATGCAGAGAACCCTAGTAAGAAACTTCACAAGAAGATCATCCCCAAGACACATACTCATTAGATTCTCTGAGGTCAAAATGAAAAAAAAAAGTTAAAGGCAGCTAGAGAGAAAGGTCAGGTCACCTACAAAAGGACCCCATCAGGCTAACAGTGGACCTCTCAGTAGAACCCCAACAAGCCAGGAGAGATAGGCAGCCTATCTTCAACATTCTTAATAAAAAGAAATTCCAACTGAGAATTTCATATCCAGCCAAATTAAGCTCCATAAGTGAAGGAGGAATAAGATCCTTTTCAGACAAGCAAATGCTGAGAGAATTTGTTATGACAAGATCTGCCCAAAAGCTCCTGAAGGAAGCACTAAATGTGAAAGGGAAAGACCATACCAGCCACTACAAAAACATCCTGAAGTATGCAGAGCAGTGACAGCATAAAGCAACCACACAAACAAGACTGCGTAATAACCAGCTAACATCAGGATGACAAGATCAAATCCACACATATCAATACTAACCTTGAATGTAAATGGGCTAAATGCCCCAATTAAAAGGCACACCATGGCAATCTGGATAAAGAATTAAGACTCATTGGTATGCCATCTTCAAGAGACTCATCTCACATGCTATGACACCCACTGGATCAAAATAAAGGGATGGAGAAAAATCTACCAAGCAAATGGAAAACAGAAAAAAATCAGGGGCTGCAATCCTAATTTCAGACAAAACAAACTTTACAAACCAACAAAGACCAAAAAACACAAAGAAGGGCATTACATAATGGTAAAGTGTTCAATTGAACAAGAAAACTTAACTATTCTAAGTATTAGTATTTATGCATCCAAAACAGGAGCACCCAGATTCATAAAGCAAGTTCTTAGAGACCTTCAAAGAGACTTAGACTCCCACACAATAGTAGTGGGAGATTTTAACATCTCACTGACAGTAATAGATACATCACTGGGGCAGAAAATTAACAATGATATTCGGGACTTGAACTCAGCACTGGATCAAATGGACTTGATAGACATCTACAGAACTCTCCTCACAAAAATAACAGAATATACATTCTCATCACCACATGACACATACTCCAAAATCAGTCACAGAATCATACACAAAATACTCCTCAGCAAATGCAGAAGAACTCAAATCATAACAACCAACCTCTCAGCCCATAGTGAAATCAAATTAGAAATCAAGACTAAGAAATTCACTCAAAATCATACAATTACATGGAAACTGAATAACCTGCTCCTAAATGACTTCTGGGTAAATAATTAACTTAAGGCCAAAATTAAGAAGTTCTTTGAAATGAATGAGAAAAAAAGATACAACATACCAGAATCTCTGGGACACAACCAAAGCAGTTTTAAGATGGATATTTACAACACTAAATGCCCACATCAAAAAGTTAGAAATATCTCAATTTAACAACCTAACATCACAACTAAAATAATAAAAGAACCAAGAGAAAACCAGCCCCAAAGCCAGAAGACAATAAATAACCAAAATCAGAACTGAAGGAGATTGAAACACAAAAGTATTCAAAAGATCGATGAATCCAGGAGTTGATTTTTTTGAAAAGAATCAATAAAATAGAAAGACTGCTAGCTAGACTAATAAGAGAGAAAATCCATATACACATAATCAGAAACAATGGAGAAGATATTACCACTGACTCCAAAGAAATACAAATAACCATCAGAGAATATTATGAATACCTCTATGCACACACAGGAAAATCTAGAATAAATGAGGCCGGGTGCAGTGGCTCACACCTGTAATCCCAGCACTTTGGGAGGCTGAGGCGGGCAGATTGCTTGAAGCCAGGAGTTCAAGACCAGCCTGGCCAACATAGTGAAACCCCATCTCTACTAAAAATAAAAATAAAAAAGTTAACCAGGCATGGTGGCGCGTGCCTGTAGTCCCAGCTACCCAGGAGGCTGAAGCAGGAGAATCGCTTGAACCTAGGAGGTGGACATTGCAGTGAGCAGAGATCGTGCCACTGCACTCCAGCTTGGGCAACAGAGTGAGACTTTGTCTCAAAAAAAAAAAAAAAAAGAAGGAAAAAGAAAAGAAAATCTAGAAGAATTGGACAAATTCCTGGACACATACAGCCTCCCAAGACTGATCAAGGGAAAAATTGAATCCCTGAACAGACCAATAATGAATGAGCTCTGAAATTGAATCAGTAACAAATAGCCTAACAACAACAAAAAAAGCCCAAGACCAGACAGATTTACAGCTGAATTCTACCAGATGTACAAAGAAGAGCTAGTACCATTCCTGCTGAAACTATTCCAAAAAAGTGAGGAGGAGGGACTCTTTCTCCTTCATAATTCATTCTGTGAGGCCAGCATCATCTTGATACCAAAACCTGGCAGAGACACAACAAAAAAAGGAAACTTCAGGCAAATATCCTTGGTGAACATCAACGCAAAAATTCTCAACAAAACTCAGCAAACTGAATCCAGCAGCACATCAAAAAGCTTACCCATCACAGTTAAGTAGGCTTTATCCCTGGGATGCAAGGTTGGTTCAACATATACAAATTGGGCCGGGTACAGTGGCTCACATCTGTAATTCTAGCACTTTGGGAGGCTGAGGCGGGCAGATCATCAGGTCAAGAGATCAAGACCATCCTGGCTATCACAGTGAAACCCCATCTCTACTAATGTAGCAGGATAAGCTGCAGACAAAACTCAGACACCAAGTTAAAGAAGGAAGGGGTTTATTCGGCTGGGGGCATCAGCAAGACTCCTGTCTCAAGAGGCAAGCTCCCTGAGTGAGCAACTCTTGTCCTTTATAAGGGCTCACAATTCTAAGTGGGTGCACGCAAGAGGGTCATGATTGATTGAGCAAGCAGGGGGTACATGACTGGGGGCTGCATGCACCAGTAATTAGATTGGAACAAAACGGGATAGAGATTTTCACAGTGCTTTTCTATACAATGTCTGTAATCTATAGATAACATAACTGATTAAGTCAGGGGTCGATCTTTAACTACCAGGCCCAGGGTGTGGCACCAGGCTGTCTGCTTGTGGATTTCACTTCTCCCTTTTAGTTTTTACTTTTTCTTTCTTTGGAGGCAGAAATCGGGCATAAGACAATATGAGGGGTGGTCTCTTCCCTTACTAAAAATAAAAAAAATTAGCTGGGTGTGGTAGCAGGCACCTGTAATCCCCGCTACTCAGGAGGCTGAGGCAGGAGAATGGTGTGAACCCAGGAGGCGGAGCTTGCAGTGAGTCGAGATCACGCCACTGCACTCCAGCCTGGGCGACAGAGCAAGACTCCGTCTCAAAAAAAAAAAAAAATACAAATCAATACATGTGATTTGTCATATAAAGAAAACTAAAGACAAAAACCACATGATTATCTCGATAGATGAAGAAAAGGCTTTTAATAAAAATCAACACCCATTCACGTTAAAAATTCTCAATAAACTAGATATTGAAGGAACATACCTCAAAATAACAAGAGCCATGTATGACAAATCCACAGCCAACATCTTACTGAATGGGCAAAAACTGGAAGCATTCCCACTGAAAACCGACACAAGACAAGCATGCCCTCTCTCACCAATCCCATTCTGTTAATTTTCAAGGCTGCAGTGGAGCCAGTGAGGAGGGGATGAGAATAGAATAGGGCAAGTTAAAAATACCATACCGCTTGCTGTTCTTAATGAGATTTTTCATTTGTTTGTTTGTGTGTGTGTGTATATATATATATATATACACACATATATGTATGTATACCTACACAAACACACACACACAGTGAATGGAAAATAAATCTTGGGGCCCCAAAATCACTAAGCTAAAGGGAAAAGTCAAGCTGGAAACTGCTTAGGGCAAACCTGCCTCCTATTCTATTCAAAGTCATCCCTCTGTTCACTGAGATAAATGCATATCTGATTGCCTCCTTTGGAAAGGCTAATCAGAAACTCAGAAGAATGTAACCATTTGTCTCTCACCTACCTGTGACCTGGAAGCCTTCTTGCTGCTTGAGCTGTCCCACCTTTCTTGACAGAACCAATGTATATCTTCCATATATTGATTGATGTCTCATGTCTCCCTAAAATGTATAAAACCAAGCTGTGCCCTGACTACCTTGGGCACATGTCATCAGGACCTCCTGAGGCTGTGTCACAGGTGTGCATCCTCAATCTTGGCAAAATAAACTTTCTAAATTAACTGAGACCTTTCTCAGATATTCAAGGCTCACATTTTGGCAACCATGAAGGGATTCTGGGTGGAGGTGCCCCTGACCTTTGACAAATCTCCTATCAGTGCTCGGTACTAGCTTGAACTATCTTTATGGCTCAAACCAATAGGACAATTTGCTGAGACCTGGAAGCAACCCCTCCAGAGAATCACTGATCTTTCAAAATTTGGTCAAGATCTAAAGTTTATTTTGCTGTACAACTCCTTTTTTTGGAGTTTTACTAGCTTCCAACACAAGAAAGGCAAGTTTTTCCTGCTTCGATGATGATAAAATGCAGGTAACTCCTTTATGGAGTTTGAGCTTGCGTCCAATGGGGAAGACAAATTTGAGTTTTTTCCTGCTTCTAGGATGGTAAAGAGCAGTCTTCAGCCTGAGACCCATGCCTTACCTAAGGATGGGTAACTGAAATGCGGTTTGTCTTGGCTAAGGTCAAGATTAACAACCAGTTGGTTGTAATTTCTCTTTACCATTACAGCACTCAGTAGTTGCATAAGTTGTGCCATCTTTGTTTTGCTTAATTATTTTTGTTGTTGTTGTCTGTTTGTTTCTGTTTTTGTTGTTGTTTCAGTCTTTTCCCCGTTGTGATTGATCAACTCTATCCAACTTGATCAAATCCAAAGGAAACTTCCAAATTATGGGGAACAAGACCTCTGAAGTGGCTAAATTCCCACACTGTGGTGGGGGAGAAAAACGGCCAACAAAAGGAAAAAAAAGAAAAGAAAAAAAAAACAGGAAAGATTTTTTATTTTGACTACTTAATGGGCTTTATTTACATAACGAGGCCACCTTTTTGCTAGCCTGGCCAAACCGAAAGAGCAATGGCTGTCACCCCACACTGCAGTTCCATAGCTAAGGGCTCTGGCTTCTTTTTTTCCACCACGACAGCTTGGGTGTGTTTCCTAAATCAAGCCATTTTTGGTTTGATACTTGGTACTTCTGAAATAGCAGAAATTTGTTCTAGCTGAATTATGGTAATGAGATTTAAAAAGATTTTTTTAAAGGAGCTCAATGATTAAAAGTCAGCTTAACTAAAAGCTAACATCCAAGATGTGTGCATGTGTGTGTGTTTGTGCGTGTATGTGTGTGTGGGTGTGTATGTGTGTGTGTTTATATTGAAAAGACATTCACTTTTTTTTTTCTCCTAGGACCTTGTCTCTCTCTCTTTTTTAACCTAAAGATTTTTTTTCTCATTTGACTGAATTCTTTTTTTTTTTTCATTTACTTCTGCTGTCTCTCCTTTCTCTTGCACCCTCTGCTGCATGAGGCACCTAAAATATTTTAGTTTATAATAGCCTGGCTTTCCTTCAAGAAAGCAGAGAAGGCACCAGACTCCCTTTTGGGGAGAAACCTGTTTTTCCTTATGAAACCCCATGAGTGTAAACAGACAAGTTCATCTCAGCTCTTAAACTGCTTGCTTTTGTATTGTGTTACCTGACTTATTGACTAAAAGAATTATTGCACCAAAGACTACTCTGGTTTTTAAGGAAGAGTGTAGTTTAGACATTAGAAGTGACAGGTGACAATGTGCTGGGGGCCCTCGCTCGCTCTCAGCACCTCCTTGGCCTCGGCGTCCACTCTGGCCATGCTTGAGGAGCCCTTCAGCCTGCCACTTCACTGTGGGAGCCCCTCTCTGGGCTGGCCGTGGCTGGAGCCAGCTCCCTCTGCTTGCGGGGTGGTGTGGAGGGAGAGGTGCGGGTGGGAACAAGGGGGGCACTCGCAGGCCAGTGCGAGTTCTGGGTGGGTGTGGGCTTGGTGGGCCCTGCACTTGCAGTGGCCGGCCAGCCCAGGGCAGTGAGGGGCTTAGCACCCAGGCCAGCAGCTGCGGAGGGGGCGCCAGTTCCCCCAGCACTGCCGGCCCGCCCACGCCGCACTCGAATTCTTGCCGGGCCTCAGCCACCTCCCCGCGGGGCAAGGCTCGGGACCTGCAGCTGGCCATGCCGAACCCCCCAGTGGTGGGCTCCTGCACAGCCTGAGCCTCCCTGACGGGTGCCACCCCCTGCTCCGTGGCATCCAGTCCCATCGACCGCCCAAGGGCTGAGGAGTGCAGGTGCATGGTGCGGGACTGGTGGACAGCTCTGACCACAACCCTGGCTCAGGATACACTAGGCGAAGCCAGCTGGGCTCCTGAGTCAGGTGGGGACTTGGAGAACTTTTATGTCTAGCCAGAGGATTGTATATGCACCAGTCAGCACTCTGTGTCTAGCTTGGGGTTCGTGGATGCACCAATAGCACTCTGTATCTAGCTAATCTGGTGGGGACTTGGAGAACTTTTATGTCTAGCTAAAGGATTGTAAATGCACCCATCAGTGCTCTGTGTCTAGCTCAAGTTTGTAAATGCACCAATCAGCACTCTGTGTCTAGCTCAAGGTTTGTAAATGCACCAATCAGTGCTCTGTGTCTAGCTCAAGGTTTGTAAACACACCAATCAGCACTCTCTGTCTAGCTAAAGGTTTGTAAATGCACCAATCAGTGCTCTGTGTCTAGCAAATCTAGTGAGGACTTGGAGAACTTTTATGTCTAGCTATAGGATTGTAAATACACCAATCAGCACTCTGTGTCTAGCTCAGGGATTGTAAACACACCAATCAGCACCCTGTCAAAACAGACCAATCAGCTCTCTGTAAAATGGACCAATCAGCTTTCTGTAAAATGGGCAAATCAGCAGGATGTGGGTGGGGTCAGATAAGGGAATAAAAGCAGGCTGCCCCAGCCAGGGGCAGCAACCAGCTCGGGTCCCCTTCCACGCTGTGGAGGCTTTGTTCTTTCGCGCTTTGCAATAAATCTTGCTGCTGCTCACTCTTTGGGTCCGCACTGCCTTTATGAGCTATAACACTCACCGCGAAAGTCTGCAGCTTCATTCTTGAAGTCAGTGAGATGAAGAACCCACCAATTCCGGACACAGAAGTGTCTTCATTTAAAAAAATTTTTTAAGTGCACTGAAAAAGCATCACATATTCTAGCCTCATAATAATTCTCCCTTTTTGGAGATCCAGGATTCAGTGTGGGCTCTGCCCAGAGCTCAGAGATCTAGTAAAAAGATAGATAGTTCCTATATAAATAAAATTGGTCTCCTCATATAATCCTATGATAAATTTCTTTTTTTTTTTTTTTTTTTTTTTTGGAGACAGAGTTTCGCTCTTGCTGCCCAGGCTGGGTGATCTTGGCTCACTGCAACCTGCACCTCCCGGGTTCAAGTGATTCTCCTGCCTTAGTCTCCTGAGTAGCTAGGACTACAGGTACCCACCACTGCACCAGGCTAATTTTTGTATTTTTAGTAGAGACGGGGTTTCACCATGTTGGGCAGGATGGTCTTGATCTCCTGACCTCATAATCTGCCTGCCTCAGCCTCTCAAAGTGCTGGGATTACAGGCATGAGCCACCGTGCCTGGCTATCCTATGATAGATTTCTGAAATGTTATGTTTGATTTGGCATCCTTTTTTTTGTTTTTGTTTTTTTTTGTTTTTTTTTTTTTTTTGAGATGGAGACACTCTCTGTCACTCAGCCTGGAGTGCAGTGGCACAATCTCGGCTCACTGAAACCTCTGCCTCCCAGGTTCAAGCAATTCTCTCACCTCAGCCTCCCAAATAGCCAGAATTACAGACATGTGCCACCACACCTGGCTAACTTTTGTATTTTTAGTAGAAAAGGGTTTTCACCATGTTGGCCAGGCTGGTTTTGAACTTCTGACCTCAGGTGATCCACCTGCTTCCACCTCCTAAAGTGCTGGGATTACAGGTTTGAGCCACTGCGCCTGGTGTGGTATGTGGTTTTACTGCATGTGACTAGTTTACATGCAACTAGCCATGCAAGCTCAGTAACCCAAGGCGGTCTATACCCTATTCAACAAGAACCATCTACTGATGACACTTCTGGAAGTCTGGGCAATATCAACTTGCTGTAAGAGTTCCCAAATGCTCTCAATTATCATGTGACAACAAAGTTTTCAAACCAGTAAATTTTGAGTAGCCCTTTACTAGGAATAATCTTGAATAAGTTAGTATTGCCCTCCACAACCACAATTTAAAAAATATCCGTATTGGTTTTCTCTTCAATTCAAGCATCATGTAAATATGTAATGTAGAAAATGAGGATTTCCCATATTCCCATAGAATCACAAAGATGATCACTGCTAATATGTGTGCTACATATATGATACCAGGTTTATTCTTTTTTTTTTTTGTCTTCTTTTTTTTTTTTCTGTCACCCAGGCTAACGTCCAGTGGCACGAACTTGGCTCACTGTATCCTCTGCCTCCCGGGTTCAAACAATTCTCCCACCTCAGCCTCCCAAGTAGCTGGAATTACAGGCACCTGCCACCATGCCCACCCAGCTAATATTTTTGTATTTTCAGTGGAGACGAAGTTTCACTAAGTTGACCAAGTTGGTCTCGAACTCCTGACCTCTGGTGATCCGCCCACCTTGGCCTCCAAAAATGCTGGGATTAAAAGCACGAGCCACTATGCCTGGCCATTTTTTTGTACTCTTATACAATTATATACTTGCTTTATAAAAATGAACTTATTCTACATATATATGTTATTACATTATTAGGACATGTTCCCTAATGACATATTACATTTTCATCATTCTTTTTTAAAATATTTTTTTCCTGAGACAGCATCTCACTCTGTTGCCCAGACGGGAGTACAGTGGCCTAATGACAGGTCACTGCAGCCTCAAGCTCCTCGGTTCAAGGGATCCTCCCATCTTGGCCTCCTGACTAACCCAGCTAAGTTTAAAAAAAAATTTTTTTTTGGCCTGGTGCTCATGCCTGTAATCACAGCACTTTGGAAGGCCAAGGCAGGCAGATCACTTGGGGTCAGGAGTTTGAGACCATCCTGGCCAACATGGTAAAACTCCGTCTCTACTAAAAATACAAAAATTAGCTGGGCATGGTGGCAGGTGCCTGTAATCCCAGTTACTCGAGAGGCTGAGGCAGGAGAATCACTTGGGCCCAAGAGGTGGAGGGTGCAGTGAGTCGAAATCATGCCACTGAAATCCAGCCTGGGTGACAGAGCAAGACCCTGACTCAAAAATAAATAAATAATAAAATAACTTTTTTTTTTTTTTTTTGGAGAAACAAGTCTCATTATGTTTTTGAACTCCTGGACTCAAGCAATCCTCCCATCTCAGTTCCCAAAGTGCTGGGATTACAGGTGTGAGGCACTATGCCCAGACATTTTCATCATTCTTTTTTTTTTGAGATGGAGTTTTGCACTTGTTGCCCAGGCTAGAGTGTTATGTCACGATCCCGGCTCACTGCAACATCCGCCTCCCAGGTTCAAGTGACTCTCCTGCCTCAGCCTCCTGAGTAGCTGGGATTACAGGCATGAGCCACCACGCTCGGCTAATTTTGTATTTTTAGAAGACATGGGGTTTCTCCATGTTGGTCAGGCTGGTCTCAAACTCCCGACCTCAGGTTATCTGCCTACCTCGGCCTACCAAAGTGCTGGGATTACAGGCGTGAGCCACCATGCCCAACCCATTTTCATCCTTCCTAGTAGCCATGGAGCATTCCATTTAATCAACTGTACGTGCAATATTTTTTTCCAGGGGCAAGGGGCTCATATTCACACAGATGGGAGTCCAGTTGGTGAGAAGGTGGCAGGTGGCACAGCCCCCTTATACAGCATGCCATACTGGTCCACTGTCAGACCGGTGATGGCCACAGCTCCATCACCCCCAGGCTGACTCTGGCTCCTGCCTGGCTCTGCCCGGCCACCACAACCCCTGGGAACCATTCAGAGGCATCACTGGAGGGTATGTGGTTAGTGGAGCAGCTGGTTGTGGGGAGGTCTCGTTTCTTTGGTGGAAGGCATTCCTGACTCCTCTCATGAACAGGTTTCATATTGCTTTGTGGTGTTCCTGGAGCCTGGAAGGAGTTGGCTTGCTCCCTGGGGCATCAGGAGGGGCTTCTCGGTAGCTTCCCTGTACCCCTCTAGGCTTCTGGCTGGGGCGCTCACATCTGAGCTTCCAGCGGTGCTTCTGAGCAGCTGTAGTAAGCGTCCTCCCGGCTGGCTCGGGAGCTCACAGCGCTTCCCGGGATCCACTTGCTCGTCCTGGAGCTGCCGCAACTGCGGCCGTCCCATCCCTGGCCCTGGAGCCGCCCCATACCCCTGTATATGCAATATTTGTTAACCAGTCCCTTTTGGTGCCCATCTAGGTACAGGTCTCATTTTTCAAGCTAAACTCTATAATACACTGGAAGTAATAGATGTCACCTCCATATTGTATGCCAAACCTAATAAGCAGAGCAAAACTTTTCATCCAAGTGATTTGGTTAACATTTTAGGATGTTTCTAATCTCTCAGTAATACAAATATGCTACAGTAGATCTGTGTGTTTATCCTTTGGGCACCTGTGTGTGCCTGTGCACACCTGGCGAATAAAGTCCTGTGAGAGGAACCGCCATCCAAAAAGGGTGTTTCAGTCTGTACTGCCACCAACAATGTGCTGATGCCTCTGAGCTTGCGTTTGGATCAGGAGAATTTGAAAGTCATCAGGAACCAAACCAGGATACAAGGTCCACTGTAGCTGGAAAGTGGCAAACATTCCAAAGCTAAGACATTGGCTATTCCTGGGCTGTTCACAAACTGTGAGGCCACTTCTAGATGAGATCCAGAAAAAGGGTGAGCAGCTCACTTATTTTTTAAGCAAAACACCTTTTCTTCTCATTTCTGCTAAGAACAAATAGCTTCCAGCAAGAGAAATAGGGGATGCAATATTTTTACAAATTACTTCTCTTTTTTTTAATTAAAAAAATGTTAAGTTAAATGCTACTTAAAGATATGTTTAACCTCTATGATACTGACTTGCTCATGAGAAGAAAGAGAGAAGGCCAGGCATCTTGCCCACTAATACCCACTATCAACACTTAGGCCTGACATCAGTCGCTAAATATTCTGGGCTGGGCACGGTTGCTCACGCCTGTAATCCCAGCACTTTGGGAAGCCAAGACAGGTGGATCATGAGGTCAGGAGATCGAGACCATCCTGGCTAACATGGTGAAACCCCGTCTCTACTAAAAATACAAAAAATTAGCCAGGAGTGGTGGCGGGCACCTGTAGTCCCAGCTACTGGGGAGGCTGAGGCAGGAGAATTGTTTGAACCCAGTAGGCAGAGGTTGCAGTGAGCCAAGACCGTGCCACTGCACTTCTGCCTGGGCAACAGAGTGAAACTCCGTCTTAAAAAAAAAAAAATCAACAGCAGCTTCTAGGATGACTGAGCAGTGACTCAGTCTCTCCTTGACCAGATTCTGTAACTCTCCAGCAGAAATGCTTATCTGATCTCTGCGAGAACAGGAAGCAGCTCAGTGGGGGCCTTCCTTGCTAAATTCTTCATCAAGCTGGTCTGTTATCTGCCCTGAGTCCTGCAAAAACATCTCAAGAAAAATCCCAAAAACATGCAAGACAAATGAGGGTCCTCCCTTAGCATGTCTTGAAGCACTGAGGCACCTGAAAGTTACATATAGTTTCCGGGGAAACAGTTTTTTAGGAAATGTAGCACAGACACTAACTATTCTTCCAGAAGAGCCCCTTCCTGACATGAAAGATCTTACTTAGCATGACAGAGAAGCATCTGATTCATCATGAGGACCTATCCAGCCAGCAGCAGGGGCCCCAGTGCCAGTGTCCACCTCAACAGAGGAGACACGGGGGACATGCAAAGTGTTTCTGTTGAAAAATACTTCACCTAGGGTGACTATAGTTAGCAGCAATGTATTGTATATTTCAAAGTAGCTAGAAGGCTAGGTACAGTATCTCATGCCTATAATCCCTGGGCATTTTGGGAGGCCCAGGCAGGCAGATCACCTGAGGTCAGGAGTTCGAGACCAGCCTGGCTAACATGGTGAAACCCCATCTCTACTAAAAATTAAAAAAATAAAAAAATAAAAATAATAAAAATTAGCCGGACGTGGTGGCCTGCGCTTGTAGTCCAAGCTACTCGGGAGGCTGAGGCAGGAGAATTGCTTGAACCTGGGAGGCAGAGGTTGCAGTGAGCCGAGATCACACCATTGCCCTCCAGCCTGGGCGACAGAGCAAGACTCTGTCTCAAAACAAAAACAAAAACAAAAACAAAAAAACAAAGTAGCTAGAAGAAGGGACTTGAAATGTACCCAACACATAGTAATACCAAATATTCAAGGTGATAGACACCCCAAACACCCTGATTGATCACTATTCTGTGCATGTAATAAATACTTAAATGTACTCCATAAATATGTAAAATATGTTATATCAACAAGAAAATACTTTGCCTAGTGTTTCCATCCAAATGGGTATAAATCCAGCGCTCAATGTACACATGTCATGGCTTTTTATTGAGACTGGGGAAGGGCCGTGGTAGCAGGTGCACTCACTGTCCAAGTTTGTCCAGACTCTCTGCTGCATGGGTGATGGCATTTGTGACTGTGTTGGTCACTGTCTCAGTGATTTCCTTCATCTTTTTGTCCCCTGACTCTTGGGCTTTCTTTATGGCTTCAGCAATGGCTGTTGGAAAGAAAGAGGAAGAATGTCCTAGTGATCCACCCGCTGAACTTGTGTCCCCTTGAGTGGCCTGTGGGATGTGGCCATCTTAATGGATTAGTCTCTGGAGTGGCCCGATGGGACCAAGGGCAGCAGGATTACTGCAGAATGAATTTGAATTTGGTTTTAATTTCCCCAACAACTTGCATTTCTTCAACTGTGAGTGAGACTGAGCATCTACTCATGGGTACATTGCCTGCTTATCCTTTTTTCTGGAAAATGCCTGCTTATGTCTTTTGACCATTTTTATATTGGGTTGTTATATTGGATTATCATTTTTATGACAAATATTTTTCATCAGTGTGTAATTTTTCTTTTGGCTTGGTTTATAGTTTTTTTTTTTTTGGCTATAGAAAATTTCAGTTTTGGATTGTCAAATTTACTTAATATTTCCTTTATGGCGCTGATTTTTTTGTCATGGTTCTAAAGATTCTCCCCTCTCCAAGATTAGGCCAAAGTCTTTTATGTTATTACTATGTCTAAATGTTTATGATGTCTTCCCCCTCAAAACTCATACGTTGAAATCCTCAGTCTTAATGTAATGATATTAAGAGGTGGGGCCTTTGGGAGGTTGAAATTAGCACCCACATAAAAGAGACCACAGAGAGCTAGCTCCTTCCACCATGTGAGGACAGAGCTGGGCCCATCCACGAACCAGAAAGACTCCCTCACCAGATGCCAAATCTGCCAGTGCCTTCCTTGATCTTGGACTTCCCATCCTCCAGGAGTGTGAGAAATTTCTGTTGTTTCTAAGTCGCCCAGTTTATGGTTTGTTTTTGTTTTTGAGACAGAGTCTTGCTCTGTCACCAAGGCTGGGGTGCAGTGGTGCAATCTCAGCTCACTGCAACCTCCGCCTCCCAGGTTCAAGGGAGTATCCTGCCTCAGACTCCTAAGTAGCTGGGATTACAGGCATGTGCCACCACGCCCAGCTGGTTTTCGTATTTTTAGTAGCAACGGGGTTTCACCATATTGGTCAGGCTGGTCTTGAACTCCTGACCTCAGGTGGCCCACCCACCTTGGCCTCCCGAAGGGCTAGGATTACAGGCGTGAGCCACTGCACCTGGCCTATGGTATTTTATAATAGCAGCCTGAGCTAAGATGGTTATCTCCTAGTAAGTTAATAAATTCATTTATGTAAATTTAAGTCCTTCATCTACCTGGAATCTATTTTGTTGAAAAGGAATGAGATATACATATGCTTTGTACATAGTTCTACTCATAGCTCACACACATCAATTTAACATTTAACATAGAATTTTACATGTTAAATTTTTTTTTTTTTTTGAGACGGAGTATCACACTGTCGCCCAGGCTGGAGTGCAGTGGCACGATCTCGGCTCACTGCAAGCTCCGCCTTCCGGGTTCACGCCATTCTCCTGCCTCAGCCTCCCGAGTAGCTAGGACTACAGGCACCCGCCACCGTGCCCAGCTAATTTTTTGTATTTTTAGTAGAGATGGGGTTTCACCGTGGTCTGGATCTCCTGACCTCGTGATCCGCCCACCTCAGGCTCCCAAAGTGCTGGGATCACAGGCGTGAGCCACCACACCCAGCAATTTTTTTTTTCTTTTTTTTTTTTTGAGACCGAGTCTCACTCTGTAGCCCAGGCTGGAGTGCAGTGGCATGATCTAGGCTCACTGCAAGCTCTGCCTCCCAGGTACACACCATTCTCCTGCCTCAGCCTCCCAAGTAGCTGGGACTATAGGCACCCACCACCATGCCCGGCTAATTTTTATGTATTTTTAGTAGAGATGGGATTTCACCGTGTTAGCCAGGATGGTCTCAATCTCCTGACCTCGTGATCCACCCTCCTCAGCCTCCCAAAGGGCTGGGATTACAGGCGTGAGCCACCGCGCCCTGCCATGTTAAATGTTTTGTCCCAGTGTGCTGTCACATAGTCTTGTGTGACTTTGTCTTCTTATTCCACAGACAGAACCATCTAGACAGTGCCCTAACGCAGTACAGTCTGTGGCCTCTGATGAGCATAGATAACTGCCCCAGCCAAGAGGCTCTGAAAGGCTGCAACATTGGGGGCAGAGTTTGACCTGGTTAGTCAAAGAACAGGTTGGCCCAGCACCTAGCTTCCCTTGCTCCCTCCCTCCTTCCCTGCCCGACCTCAGCCAGCTGTACCTTTCTCTCCAGTCTCCTTGGCGTGTCCCACCACCTCCTTCACCACTTCTTCCACGGCATGAACTGAACAGAGGAGACAAGTCCAGGGTGAGGGCTCAGAGCAGAGCCGCTGCCCTCCCAGTCCAGGGTGAGGGCTCAGAGCAGGCCCACTGCCCTCCCAGTCCAGGGTGAGGGCTCAGTGCTGGCTTATCCTCACAATGGACCTATACATCCCTGGACATCCTAGATGGGGCTCTGGGATGCCACCCCCAGCCAGGACAGACTGGCTCATGAGAAGGACCTTCCCCCACAGCTGGCTTCCTTCGGAGACGCCAGGGCCTTGGCTGCCGGGAGACGAGCTCAGTGAGCCCCATGAGGGCATGGGTCCCTGAAGCCCCTTGGCCCTGCCCGGCCTGGAATGGCAATGAGCAGGCCATCTTGCCAGCTGAGACATGAAGCCCAGGCTGGGCCTCTGTGCCAGGTCACACCCCTCTCAGGATGTGCTAGCGCCTGCCTCAGGTTGGTTTCCAAAGCCTCATCCAGTAAAACCAGGTCTCTCAAAGCAATTCCTCCAACAAAAGGGAATTCTCTGCCTACTTCAGAGTTTTTTAAAGTGTAGGTGGTAGCATGCTAGAACTGAAGGATTTCAGAGTCAGAAGAAATGGTTCTTATTCTAACTCTACCTTCCACCTCTTGGTTCCCTCATCTTTAGAATGGGAATCTGTTGGGGTGATGAGACCCAACACCAGGTCGCGGGGGCGGCAAGTCCAGAGGAGTCAAAGGAATGAGAAAGAGACAGTTTGAGAGAGAAAATGGGAGCGGGGCGCCATCGCGAGTGTGGAGGCTGCGAAGGCCCGGAGTTCTGGGAACCCATGCTATTTATTGGTGATCTAACAAAGAAACAGGTGGTGAGGATGTGGCGGTTGAAAGGAAACGGTGTATCAAGTGAATGAGAAACATACGGCTACTTGAGAAAATGGGAGTGCTAGAAGCAAGGAGCCAGCCAATCTAGCAAGCCCTGCCTCAGCTTCTCTCCCAACACTCAGCTTTTCTCCCAACAGGAATCATACAAAACTCAGAGGCTAGTGAAAGGTTAAAGCAGGTGGTCCACACCAGCTGCAGAGTCAAAAACAAAATACGCGTCTGCTGCCATTTAGAAAGAGGACACAAACTCAGGCAAGACTGTTTTTCACACGATGACCCATGAGTGGCTCCTGGCTGGGCCTCCCCACACATAGCTGCTGACCTCTGAATACAACATACACTTCGGGACCAGGTGCGGTGGTTCACGCCTGCAATCCCAGCACTTTGGGAGGCCAAGAGGAATGGATCACTTGAGGTCAGGAGTTTGAGACCAGCCTGGCCAACATGGCGAAACCCTGTCTCTGCTAAAAATATAAAAATTAGTTGGGCATGGTGGTGGGTGCCTGTAATCCCAGACACTCAGGAGGCTAAGGCATGAGAATCACTTTGAACCCAGGAGGCAGAGGTTACAGTGAGCCGAGATCGCACCACTACACTCCAGCCTGGGTGCCAGAGCAAGACTCCATTTCAAATACAAATAAAAATAAAAATAAACATGCTTCAGGGGACTTGGATGAAATTGAAAATGCCCTTTTTGACTTTGAACAGACTTGGTGACTTGTTTAGAAATCTTTGAAGCTTTAAAGTTATGGTAAAAATAAAAATCCATCTTCCTTTTCCTGCATAGGTTATTCAGAATAGGCTGTTTTGACAAGAAAGGCTCCCCAGATTTCCAGAGGGAAGGGTCCAAGCTGCCAGTGTTCACCCAGCACCAGGACTCATGCCCTGCCCCCAGGAGACCTCCCCAGGTCTGCACCCCTCAACTCCGTGCTGACTTGGTAGAGCAGGGGACCAGGGTTCCTGAGGGGCCAAGGCCTCCTCCCAGGTCCTCACCTGCCTACTTAGATCCGCCTCCCACAGACCCAGTCTGCCCCAGATCCCCCCAGCCCAGGTAGAAAGGAGCCCCAGGTCCTCACTGGCTCCCTCGGTGGCCTTCTCGGTGCGGTGGGCCAGGCCTTCGGCAGCCAGCTTCCCCAGGCCTCCCAGCATCGTGTGGCAGCAGACAGTGGTGAACTAGGATGCTGAGGACTGGCCCAACATGCTTTTATAGCTGCCTCTGGTGCCTGTCTAGGCTCTGGGGCAACAAGCCCTTGCCCCAGCCCAGTAGGAGGCTGGACAGGTGAGTCAGCGAGGGCGGCAGCAGGAAGGGGCTGGGCGGAGCCACCCTGGCACTGGGGTGGCAGCATCCCCTGACAGCCTGAGGCTTCTGTAACCCTGTCCTAGGGACCCCGTGAAGGATAGGGGCAGGGAGCAGGGCTGGACAGGAGAGATCTGGACATGCCTCTTCCTTGAGGCAGAGGGCCTGAGTGCCAGCCCCCCGAGACCAAAACTTCCCAAGCCTGGGTACTGATATGTACCTGGAGACAAGGCCTAGGATTCCAAGCCTGCTGCTCAAGGTCCCCAGTGTGGCCTAGTAAGAGGTTTAGGGGTTCTATGGGCCTGGAGACCTGGGCAGTCCTTTGGGTCATGAACACAAGTGGAGTGAGGGTGACTGCCCTCCCCATTCCTGGAGACCCTGGCTCTGCAGAGCAGTTTGTGGCCTCTATGGGACAGGGTGGGGCGTTCAGGGTGGTGCCTTGCCTGAGTCAGAGGGGGGCACAGCACTGGGCAGAAGTGTAGTCACCTGGCTTTGCTCAGCTGATGCTCACTCACCCAAGAGTGTCTGTGAGGCCAGCAGTGCCCTCCTATCCCCTGGCAGTCCTGGAGGAGTAGACAGAGGCCTCCACCACCACTCAGGGAGATGCTTCTGGCCTTAGCTAGAATCCCCTAGAAAGCAGCTTCCCTGGCTCCTGGTGCATCACATGAGGAGTGGCAGGGCTGCTCCCTAGTTACTCATGATGGACAGACATGCCTCAAGCCACCTGCCACATGCTGCTTCCCTTAGTCACCAGCCCAACCTGAGCCTCCGTTTCCTCATCTGTAAAATGGGGATAGCGTGCCTTCCTGGCTGTGTCACTAATCGTCCCTGAGACAAAGCATGCAAGCTCCTGGTAAACACCTGTTCCCTCCACTCATCATTGAGGTGCCCTTTGGCAGTGAGCTCTGACCAACCGGTAGGGTGGGCCAAGGAGTGACTGGGACGTGAGGCTGCCTTGGAGCCAGAGGGCTGGGGAATGTGACTTCCGCTGGCCAGGAGCCAAGGAGAGGTCTTCCCATCCTCCTACTTCTGGGGTGCAGGCCTGTGGCAGGGGTCTGAGGCTCTCTCTTCAATGCAGGCTCCTGGAGCTGCTCTCCTGGGTGTGTTGGGGCCTGATTAGTTTACTGGACTGTGGGCCCTCCCAGCCTGGGACTCGGGAGCTGAGACCCTCTTGCATTCCTGCATGGTGTTTGCGGGCTCCAGGGCTACGGCCAGTCCCCCTAGGGTGGACAGTGGGTATCGTGGGCAGCAGGACCTCTGGGTCTCAAGACTACGGCCCCACACATGCCATTGCTATCTCCTTTGGGCAGGGGTGAATTGGGGCTTAAACAATTTAGAGGGGCCCTCTTTATGAAAAAGAATACAATAATATGATTCTTGCACATTTTTCATTTATATACGTATGAACTTCTGGACCCAGAAGGGGCTGTGAAAGTCGGGGGCCTGGAGCTCAGGCGGGTCCAGATGACCCTGTCCTCCTTTTGTAACAGCCAGAGTCCAGGATGTTTTTGCCCAGGGCATTGGGCTGGCACTGCAGAGGCCTGGGGGATGGGGGGACACCTGGGACATGGCTGGTGGGAATTGTTCTAGGAAACCTCAGGGATTCTCCCTGGACCTGTCAAAGCCCCTTCCCTGTTTCTTCTGAGGCTGTGTGTCCCCCACTCGCACAAGGGTCCTTTCTATGCCTGTTCCGCTGATAAATGTCATCTGCCTGCTCTAGAATGGCTTCCAGACCCCACAGACCCCCTCCTCACGAGCTCCCACCCTAGGGTACTCTCCACCAGTCCCCGCTTTCAGGAGCTCACCAGACTCAGACAGCCTGTTGTCAGAGCTCAGCCACACAGCAGGACCCTGGCCCACTGCCCAGACCAGAGCCAGGCCCACCGCAGCCTCGGGGGACAACTGTCCTTCCCCCACCCCCTCCACATGGTCCCCTGCCCATGAGACCCTGCCCTGCTAATTTAATGCACTGCCTTGGTGTGAGCACTGTGATTCTAATGACAACACACCATGGCCTTCTGGGCAAGGCTGGGTCCAGACACAGATCCCAAATGCCTGCTGGGGAGAAGGCAAGAGGCCCGGGGAGGCCCAGGACAAGACATGGGTCCCAGGCCCTGGTGCCCTCCCTCTTGGCCTTCCAGCCGCTGCTGCTGTGACCAGATTCCCATCCACCCAGCCCAGTCCATGGGCCCCAGCAAGCCATCTGTGCCCCACAGAGGGCAGACCCCTAAGAGTGGGACCCCTTTCTAGCCAAAGAACATGAGATGGCCCCAAATCCTCCTAAACAGGATGGATCCTGGTCTGAGGGGCTGGGCTCAGGTGACTCCTGCAGGGAACTTCACCTGCCTGGATGAGGTCAAGGGTGAATCAGGTGGGGCCTGCCCTCCACCACCCCATCATGGAAGAGGTCCAGCCCACGGTGGGCCCAAGAGGGCCGCCCTTGGACCTAGGGACCCAAGTCAGCATATCCTGAGTCAGAAGGTCAAGTCCAGCCTCCCCTCAGGCAGGGAGAATCTGGCTTTGACAGGAGCAGATAAATTCTCAAGGTGGAATTTGCCCAACAAACTAGTTTGGCAAGGGACTAGCTGGCTGAATCATTGAGTCAAGGACAGCCAACGTTTCCAATAGCAATTTGCCAACTTAGCAATGACCAATTCTGAAAAACAATTTGTTTATTTGAAATACTTAAATACTTAGGCTGTCTCATGTCTGAAGCATGATGATGCCTTGCGTGATTTAAAGGACAGACGTCACGAATGCCAAGAGTTTTGTGGCGGTCCATCCTGCCAGTGTCTTCTCCCACTTTTGCTCTGTGGATTTGAGCTCACAGTTTGTGCTGTGCCCACCACCTGCCCACCCTAACGAGACTCCTGGAGACTTGGCTGGCCAGTCACCAGAGGAAGAGGGGCCCAGCAGCATGCCAGCATTCACCCACCTGTGGGTATCAGTCAGGCTCCTGGTGGAAGCCAGAGGACATATTGGAATGGGTATTTGAGGAAAGGGGCTGTTCACAGAAGTGTGGACCGAGTTAAGGGAACCAGTAAGAGATGAGGAATGTCCTGGACCAGCAAGAGTGGGAGCTGTTATCTCCCTGGGTCTAGAGGGACAGGAAAGGTGTCCACAGATCCCAAAGAGAGCTGTGGAGGTAGAGGAGGATCATCAGGAGCTGCAGCCATCAGTAGAAAGATGTGGCCACTGCCAAACCAGCAAGGAAGAATCTGAGCGAATAACCACCTCTCCTCTCTCTCTCCCACCTCCTATGACATCCTCCACTGTTTGAATTCCACTAGGGCCAGACAGTGAGGCACCCTGGTGATGCAGTCCAAGAGGGAGTGGGCAGAGAGGAGCCAGTGGGTATGGAGGGGAAACAGAGAAACAGAATTCCAGCTCACTCTGCGGGATTTCTGGGTCTGATAGAAACATGGCATTATTATTATTATTATTATTATTATTATTATTATTATTATTATTATTTCGAGATGGAGTTTCGCTCTTGTTCCCCAGGCTGAAGTGCAGTAGCATGATCTCGGCTCACTGCAACTTCTGCCTCCTGCGTTCAAGAGATCCTCCTGCCTCAGCCTCCCGAGTAGCTGGGATTACCGGCACATGCCACCAACGCCTTGCTAAGTTTTGTATTTTTGGTAGAGATGGGGTTTCACCATGTTGACCAGGTTGGTCTTGAACTCCTGACCTCAGGTGATCCGCCTGCCTCGGCCTCCCAAAGGGCTGGGATTACAGGCATGAGCCACTGTGCCCAGCCTGCAGCAGCTTAATTTTACAGTGTCCCTTTTCTCCTTCTGGAAACTATATGGAGCAACAACAAGACTGAGGAGGAGGAGGAGGAGGAGGAGGAAGAGAAGGAGGAGGAGCAGGAAAAAGCCCATCATCAACACACACATCAAACTCAACTTCAGAGAAATTAGGAAGCTGGGAAGCCACGTAAACCCAAAAGCAGGAGACACCAGCAGAACCAACGCAGGAAGCCAGGGAAGTGCAGAAGAACAGGGCATGGGGGGCAACCCAGGGGGGAAATCTTCACTGTTGCCAGCAACACACACTCCCAGCAGGAGAGGACCCTCAGAGTGAGAATGCAGAGCTGGAGAAGTGAAGAAGGAGCAGGTGGTGCCCGGGGAAGTCCAGCGGTGTGGTATCTGAGAGCACTCCTTCCCAAGAGAGGCTGGAGCACTTGAGAAGGCAAGGCTGAGTCCCCGGAGGCTGTATCCGGGAAAGGAGGCTGGCAGTAGAATCTTCCTGAAGCCAAGTGGGTTCTGAGAGGCAGAGGGGCAGTGGTACAGAGGTGAGGCTGACGCTTCTGTGCAGGAAGGGCAGGCTCCTGAGGAAGGGAGACCTGAATGCTCTCCACTAGATTCCCAGGGAGCCCCACTCCCTCCACAGGACCTCGCGCTGACATCTGGGAAATGCCATTCATACTGGAACCTCCGACACACTGCCATGAATGTGAGGGTTTCGTGACTGATGGGGTAGGTTTCTCTCTTCCAACTTAATAGTATAATTTCCATTTATTCCTCCCCCAGCCTCCCTGAACATTCACCTCTTAGCCACAGTACGGTGATCAGAACCAGGAAATCCACATTCGCATATTTAACTATATTAAAATTATTTCACAAAATAACCAATTTTATTAATTTAATTAAATACATTTAAATAATGTTTAAATATATTTAAATAATTTAACTAATTTAAAATGAACATATTCGCTAAACAAAAGACCTTATTGGAGTTTCACCACTTTTTCCACTAATGTCCTTTTTCTGTTCCCAAATTCCACCCAGGATCACGCTGCATTTAGTTATTTCTTAGTCTCTCGCCGTTTTGTAGGACTGCAATAACAGTTCCTCAATCTTTCCTTATCTTTCATAACCGTGACATTTTGAACCAGTACTGATCACTATTTGTCAAATGTTCTTCGATTTGGGTTTGTCTGATGTATTTCCATGATTGGACTGAAGTTACGCACTTTTGGCAATTACAGCTCAAAAATGATGTGGAATCCTTCCCAGTGCATTCCATCAGAGTTATGGCATTGATAGTTTTTCTTACTGATGATGTTGAACTTGTTCATTTGGTTCAGGTTTCTGCTGGGTTTCTCCATTGTAAAGTTACTATCTTTCCCCCTCATAGGGGGAAAGATCTTAGGAGAAATACTTGGAGACTATGAAAATTTTGTATTTTCTCAAACTTTAAAATTTTTTTTCAGGCCAGGCGCAGTGGCTCACGCCTGTAATCCTAGCACTTTGGGAAGCCGGGGTGGGTGGATCACCTGAGGTCAGGAGTTCAAAACCAGCTTGATCAACATGGAGAAACCCCATACCTACTAAAAATACAAAATTAGCCAGGCATGGTGGTGCATGCCTGTAATCCCAGCTACTCAGGAGGCTGAGGAAAGAGAATCGCTTGAACCTGGGAGGAGAGGCTGCAGTGAGCTGAGATCGTGCCATTGCACTCCAGCCTGGATAACAAGAGCAAAAGTCCATCACAAAAAAAAAAAAAAAAAAAAAAGGGCCAGGCGCAATGGCTCACACCTGTAATCCCAGCACTTTGGGAGGCCAAGGTGGGTGGATCACCTGAGGTCAGGAGTTGGAGACCAGCCTGACCAACATGGAGAAACCCCATCTATACTAAAATAAAATACAAAATTAGCTGGGCATGGTGGTGCATGCCTGTAATCCCAGCTACTCGGGAGGCTGAGGCAGTAGAATTGCTTGAACATGGGAGGTGGAGGTTGCCGTGAGCCGAGATCCTGCCATTGCACTCCAGCCTGGCCAACAAAAGCAAACCTCCATCTCAAAACAAAACAAAACAAAACAAAAAACACCTATTTTGACAGCCGGGCATGGTGGCTCACACCTGTAATCCCAGCACTTTGGGAGGCCAAGGCAGGTGGATCACCTGAAGTCAGGAGTTCAAGACCAGCCTGGCGAACATGGTGAAACCCCGTCTCTACTAAACATACAAAAATTAGTTGGGCATGGTGGCATGTGCCTGTAAGTTCCAGCTACTTGGGAGGCTGAGGCAGGAGAATCGCTTGAACCCAGAAGGCAGAGGTTGCAGTGAGCCGAGACGGCGCCATTGCACTCCAGCCTGGGCAACAGAGTGAGGGATCTCAAAAAATTATAATAAAAAAAATAATAATTCTATTTTGAATTGTGGTAAAATATACATAAAATTTACTACCTTAACCACTTCTAAGTGGTAGTTGGAACAGGGGTCAAGGAGAGCCCTTGGGTTGGGTAATGTAGAGTATATTCACATTGCCATGCAACCAATCTCCAGAACTTTTTCATCTGACAAAACCAAAACTCTATATCCACTAAGCAACTTCCCATTTTCTCCCTTCCCCATGTCCCTGGCAACCCCCGTTCTACTTTCTGTTTCTATTAGTTTGCTTACTCAGTCTAGACGCTTCACATAAGTGAAAGAACACAGTATTTGTCTTTTTCTAACTGGCTTGTTTCACTTAGCATAACGTCCTCAATGTTCATCCATGTTGTAGCATGTGTTAGAATTTCCTTCCTTTTTAAGGCTGAAGAATATTTTATTGTATGTATATACCACATTTTATCAATTCATCTGCCTATGGACAATTAGGCTGCATCCATCTTTTGATGAGTGTGAATACCACTGCTATCAATATCAGTGTACAAACATTTCTATGAGACCTTGCTTTCAATTATTTTGGCTATATACCCAGAAGTGATATTGCTGGATCATTTGGTAATTCTATTTTTAATTTTTTGAGAAACTGCCTGTCCTGTGCTGAGCAGGTCTATATAAACCTACCCGCAAAGACCAAGGAACCTGAGATACCAAAGAAAGAGGCTGACAAATCCAGTTTCTCAGAAAGAAACATTTAATAGGCGTTTATGAACAGAAGCCAAGTCAGGGATGACACCAAGATAAGATGGTGGATCCCTGTGCCATTACCCCCACCCCCCCGACCCAGGGCTTCTATAGCATAGGGGAAGGGTAATGCGGGCTTCGGCAGGGATGTGTATGGCCAGACACGGTGGCTCACGCCTGCAATCCCAGCTCTTTGGGAGGCCAAGGTGGGCGGATCACCTGAGGTCAGGAGTTCCAGACCAGCCTGGCCAACACGGTAAAACCTCGTCTCTACTAAAAATACAAAAATTAGCCAGGCGTGGTGGCAGGCGCCTGTAATCCCAGTTACTCGGGAAGCTGAGGCAGGAGAATCGCTTGAACCCAGGAGGTGAAGTTTGCAGTGAGCTGAGATTGTGCCACTGCAGTCCAACCTGGGAGACAGAGTGAGACTCAGTCTCAAAAAATAAAAAATAAAAAATAATTTTTTAAAAAGATAAAATAGAAATCGTAGATGAATTCTTGGAACTGGGATTAATCAGAATATGGCAGATTAGCCTCCAAGATGGAATTGCTTTATTCTCATTCAAGGTTTCCCTCATTCTCCACTCTCCCCATGCTGGTCACCTTGCTGCTTGTTCCTCAAACACATATGAAATGCGTTTCTGTCTTGGCAGTCATCCTGCTACCTGTAATGTCAGCACTGCTTTCTGTTGTCCCTTCAGTCAGGTCACTGTTCAAATAGCTCTCTAGACAGGCTCTTCCTTATCATTCTACTTAAAATAGCCCCCAATCACTCTGTGTCCCTTTAGCCTGCTTCCTCTTCCTGCTATTTCATACTACCTGAAAAAATACTTGAACTTCCTAGAACATAAGCTCATAAAAGCAAGAACTGTGCTCCACCTCTCCTCCCCTCTACCCCAGCACTCAGAAGAGCAACAGGGTCAGCATCCAGTGAGTGTTCATGAATCAAGTCACTGCTTGGCAGAATTCAGCACTGGGACCACAGCCTCGCCTATCTTCAACTCTTTCTCCTTCTGCTTTTCCTCCTCCCACTCTAGTAGCCACTCTTCTGGGGACTTGTGCCTTAAATGATTAGTCCTTACCGACCTATTTTCTGTCCACTTTATCTGTTTTTGAGAGAGGGTCTCACTCTGTTGCCCAGGCTGGAGTGCAGTGGCATGAATATGGGTCACTGCAGCCTCCACCTCCTGGGCTCAAGTGATCTTCCTGCCTCAGCCTGCCATGCCACGTAACTGGGGCCACAGGCATGTGCCACCATGTCCAGCTAATTTCTTGATTTTTTTTTTGGTAGAAATGGGTCTCGCTTTATTGCCCAGTCTGGTCTTGAACTCCTACACTCAAGCAGTCCTCTCAACTTGGCCTCCCAAAGTGCTGGGATTACAGGCATGAGATACTGTACCTGGTCTTATTTTTTCTTTTCTTAAGATACAGGGTCTCACCATCTGGCCCAGGCTGGACTCAAACTGCTGAGCTCAAGCAATTCCCCCACCTCAGCCTCCGAAGTAGCTAGGACTAAAGGCATGAAACCACCATGCTTGGCTTGTCCAATTTCATTCTACACACTTTCTCGGTATTTAAACAGCTGCTGTTGCTCTTCATTCTGTAGCTCTACATCAGATTCATGCTCTAGTCCTGTATATCCAAATGATGACTAGAGGCTGCCGGCTCTGCTCTTTCAAAGCCACAATGAGTGTAGCCCGTCTACAAAACTCTCCCTTTTCCAATCCAGCTTTCCCTCCTGCATCACCTATCTCTCTACATCTGGAACCATCGGCAGCTGCCTTCATAAGGCACCTCGGTCTGGCATTTGGAAAACCACCCTGTCTTGCCAGAGCTGCTTGGTCTTGGGTAGCAAAAGCTGTATGCAATCTAAATCAAGCTTTCAATCATGAGAAATCACATTCCTTCTTTTCCCCTTGTAATATACTCGTGTGTTTTTTTTTTTCCTTTCTCAATAAGCAAATTGTACCACCATCTTATTCTGAGATGCTCCTTTTTAAAAGCTGTAGATCACATTAATGGGAGTGTTTACTGCTGGAAATATTTTCCATGTGCAATGATCTGTAACCCTCCTTTTCTTTTCTTTTTTTTTTGAGACCGAGTCTCGCTCTGTTGCCCAGGCTGGAGTGCAGTGGCACAATCTCTGCTCACTGCAAGCTTTGCCTCCTGAGTTCATGCCATTCTCCTGCCTCAGCCTCCCAAGTAGCTGGGACTACAGGTGCCTGCCACCATGCCCAGCTAATTTTTTTTTTTTTTTTGAGATGGAGTCTCGCTTGATCGCCCAGGCTGGAGTGCAGTGCTGCAATCTCAGCTCATTGCAAGCTCCGCCTCCTGGGTTCACGCCATTCTCCTGCCTCAGCCTCCCGAATAGCTGGGACTATAGGTGCCTGCCACCACACCTGGCTAATTTTTTTTTTTTGTATTTTTAGTAGAGACGGGGTTTCACCATGTTAGCCAGGATGGTCTTGATCTCCTGACCTCGTGATCTGCCTGCCTCGGCCTCCCAATGTGCTGGGATTACAGGTGTGAGCCACCACGCCCGGCCATGCCCAGCTAATTTTTTGTATTTTTTAGTAGAGATGGGGTTTCATGATGTTAGCCAGGATGGTCTCGATCTCCTGACCTGGTGATCAGTCCGCCTAGGCCTCCCAAAGTGCTAGGATTACAGGTGTGAGCCACTGCGCCCAGATCTGTAACCCTCTTATCTCAACTAGCTGACATTATTAGTTCACATCCAGTTCAATTTATAAATTAAGAGAGGTGCCATGGGCCGGGCACGGTGGCTCACGCCTGTAATCCCAGCACTTTGGGAGGCTGAGGCAGGTGGATCACGAGGTCAGGAGTTCGAGACCATCCTGGCTAACATGGTGAAACCACGTCTCTACTAAAAATACAAAACAATTAGCCAGGTGTGGTGGCAGGCACCTGTAGTCCCAGCTACCTGAGAGGCTGAGGCAGGAGAATGGTGTGAATCTGGGAGGCAGAGCTTGCAGTGAGCAGATATCATGCCACTGCACTCCAGCTGGGGCGACAGAGCAAAACATCGTCCAAAAAAAATAAAAATAAAAATGAAAAAGAGGTGCCATATGTACAAAAATCAATGCATATTTATGAACTTTTTTTCAAATATATTTTCACACATCTTATCTAAATACATAATACAGAAGCCTGTGTGACTTGGGCAATGTGGCCAGGAGGGCCTGAGACTAACACACCCACCTCGGCAAAAGGACATAAAATATGTCTTATGGTCAGAAAAATCAACATTTTGTGTATTTACTTAGTTTACGAAAAGTACTGAAAATGCTATTATTAGCTGAATTTGTGATTTCCTTTTGAAATTCTGAGTTATCCTTATTTTTCCCATTTTGTTTTTACACCAAGGAGACTGCAGTCAAATAAAACAGATACTACACGCACTCGTCGGGGCAGCCGTACTGCAGAAGCACGTTGATGCACTCCTGGCTGGAGGCCTGCCGGGCGTAGGTCAGCGCTGTGTTCCCGTGGGCATCTCGGGCCATGACGTCCACCCCGTACCAGATCAGGAGCTGCGCCAGGACCACATTCCCCTTGCGGCAGGCCAGATGGAGCGCCGTGCAGCCGTCTCCCTCCCCACAGGTCTCGTTCACCTCCTCACGGGAGCCATGTGCCAGCAGCAGGATGGCTGTCCGCAGGTCCTCATCAGCGGTGGCCCGCAGCAGGTGCTGGCCCAGGGACAGCTCAGTGCAGGGTAGTGGGGCCAGAAAGAGCTTATGCTCATATTTGGAACGGATCCACCGTTCCTTCTCTTCCCTCGTTGACTCTATTGAGGGTTTCGTCTGCCCCTGGCTGCTCCCTTCCCAGATGCTGTTGGCTAGGTCATTGCCAATAGATGACATAACCTTCCTGAGCTCAACTGGCCAGTCATCCAGCTCCAGAGATCGCACACGGGAAAGGCGGGTGCCAAGACTGCGGTGGATTCCTGAACATTCAATACACATGAGGACTCCCAAGTTCAAACTGGCCCACTTAGGATTCTGGGTCTCACAGTCCACGCAGTGGGAGTTCCCACGCATGTTTTGGATCGACTGCAGGGCCATGGCCTCACTCTGGCTGGTCAGCTGGGACTTGCTTTTACTGCTCTCGCATGACTGCAGGCTGGCCAGGATCTGGCTCTGGATGGCTTGGACCCAGGCATCCCGCTCCTCATACGTCGTGGCTTTAAAGTGGCACGTTTGGCCAGTGACGGACACAATCATAAACTTTTCTTCTTCTTCCTCAGCAGTGCTGGACAGGCCATCATCTTTTAAGTTGTTGGTGCTTTTCTTCTTTAGGTGTTTCTTTTTATTGGCATGAGGGGAGGGGGGCAGGTTGAGCTTGGGGCTGGTGGTGCTGGAGATACTGGGGCTGAAGCATATGGAGTCACCCAGCCCGATGTCTGAATTGGCTGACATATGCAGAGCTTCCATGTCCTTGGATAGGCCATTGCTTTTAGAGCTGGAGATGGGTGCGCAGGCCGATGTGGCTAGGGATGGCCACTTTCCTGGGACTTTGATGGTAGATGTCCGAAGGTCAATCTCTTTTTTATGAATATTCTTCATATAATCACCTAAGCTTGAATAATAGGTGAGCACGCCATTGGAACACAGGGTGACATATTTCTTTTTCCATGTCTTCAGCCATTTCCCACTTCGCTTTAAGAGCATGCCCTGTTTAATGGGGATGGCTCTGCCGCTCCCGATGGTGTCAGCGTGACTCTCCAGGGCTTTCCTCCCTTTGTCTGGGTCACTCCCTTTCTCAGATGTAAACAGGTTGGACCAGCCCATGGACTGCTTGCAAATGGGCGTGGGTGTGTTGGCAGTGGGAGGAACACTGAAATAAAGGTCCTCCTGGCTGGTGCTGGGAGTCAATGGAATGGAGGAGGAATAGTTATTTAAACTCCCACCTCCATTTCTTTTCTTCGTAATGTGCACGGTGGAAAACTGTGTGGAACAGAAGAAGAATGGCTTCAAAAATTGGGTAGTGGCTTGCAGGGTCCTATAGACAGCTCACAATTACCTTTTAAAAAGATACATTTTCTGGGCCAGGCATGGTGGCTCACACCTGTAATCCCAGCACTTTGGGAGGCCAAGGTGGGTGGATCACGAGGTCAGGAGTTCAAGACCATCCTGGCCAACATGGTGAAACCCTGTCTTTACTAAAAAAAAAAAAAAAGAAAGAAAAAAGAAAAAAAAATTAGCTGGGCATGGTGGCACATGCCTGTAATTCCAGTTACTCGGGAGGCTGAGGCAGGAGAATTGCTTGAACAGGGACCTGGGAGGCAGAGCCTGCAGTGAGCCAAGATCGCACGATTGCACTCCAGCCTGGGCTACAGAAAGAGAGTCCATCAAAAAAAAAAAAAAAAAAAAGATACATTTTCTGTTGTTTGGATAGTATATTTACTCATACTAGCTCACTAACTAAACAGAGCCGCAGATCAGTTCTTACTCCAGCACATTCTTTTTACAACACTTAAGATGACTAAATGCAACATGAAATGGGGAAGATTTAAAAAAAGATGGCTTTGACTTCAGCATGAAACAGATACAAGTGTACGATGAAAATACAACCTCAATAAAAGTGCCACTTACCGCAAATGAGTATAACTGTTCATCAAGTATGGTCAAAGATCTATCTGCATCTCTAAAAAATAAGAAAGCGCATTACTTCAAAAACTGTTAATATCTTAGTATAATATTTGTTTAGTAAAATACTGCCTCCTGTGTGCTTTGGTGTTTACTTTACCAAAGCAGTTTTTACGAATTCTTCTCCTGGATCCTGACTTGCAGAGGGTTTCCTGACTTCTTCTTTCTCAGCACATCATGGCCTGTACCGTGAAGTCTTTTATATGATAACCAGTCAGAAATGCCCATGAGTATTGACTCTCCCTAACAGGCCATGGCAATAAGCCAAATATATTTTCACTCTTCTAACCACACATTGAAACACAAGAATGTTCTACAAAGCAGTAGTAGTAAACTTTAATAAATGTAAATGTGATTCAGATTTCCTAGCTTCCTTTCTCTTTAGTTCTCTGTAGTATACTCTCATGATGTATTTATGTATTTTCTGTTGTTTGAATGACAAACTCATCTGCCTTTTTAAGAGGCCAGTCTTTGATGAACTTTAAACTTTGTAAAACTAATGCATTGTGTCTGTGTATAAACCAGTGGTTCTCCAAATGTGCTCTGTGGACCTCTCAGGATCCTGAAGACCCCTTCCAGAAGGCCTAAGAGCTCATAACTGTTCTTTTTTTTAAAAAAAAAAAACAAGTTTTATTCTTGTTGCCCAGACTGGAGTGCAATGGTGTGATCTTGGCTCACAGCAACCTTCACCTCCCAGGTTCAAGTGATTCTCCTACCCCAGCCTCCCAAGTAGCAGGGATTACAGGCACCTGCCACCACTCCTGGCTAATTTTTGTATTTTTAGTAGAGATGTGGTTTCACCATGTTGGCCAGGCTGGTCTTGAACTCCTAACCTCAGGTGATCCGCTTGCCTCGGCCTCCCAAAGTGCTGGGATTACAGGCCTGAGCCACTGTGCCTGGCCAACACTGTTCTGAATCATACTAATTAAACCTGAGAAAGCTGATGAAAAATTTTAAAAATTTGTGAAAGTAATACAAAGTCATTGCCTGCTTTTTTATTGACACTTGCCATGATTGTATAAAAGCAAAAGTGGGTACAATGGCTGGTTTCTCAGCATAAATCAAGGCAGTGGTACCAATTACATTAGTAGTCTTTCTATTCTTCACTGTCCCCTACAGGTAAAAAACATAGCCTGAATTTCTTAAGAATGTCTTTGATGAAGCAGTAAAAATTAATGTTGTTAAATCTTGACATGTCTCTAATATTCTGAATAAGTGGAAAGTTAACGAGAAGCGCTTTTTTTTTTGTTTTTAAAGAATCCATGATTTAACTGTGAACTGAAAAATCACTTTTTTCACAGAACATCATTTTTATTTAAAAGTACAACTGGGCCAGTGCAGTGGCTCATGCCTGTAAAATCCCAGCACTTTGAGAGGCCAAAGCAGGCAGATGGCTTGAGCTCCTTCAGGAGTTCGAGACCAGCCTAGGCAACATAACGAAACCCTGTCTCTATCAAACATATAAGAAAATTAGCCTGGTGTGGTGCCACACACCGGTGGTCCCAGCTACACAGGAGCCTGAGGTGAGAGGATTGCTTGAGCTGAGATCATGCCAATGCACTCCAGCCAAGTGACAGAGTGAAACTTGGTCTAAAAAACCAGTTCAACTATCATTCTCAAAAATAAATGAAGTGAGAGGTTGTCACTTCAAGGGAAATACGTATTTGTTCCCAATGATAAAATTTAAGCTTTCCTGTGGACTTTGAAAAACTTCTTCCTTCTACTGTAGGCTTGGCAGCTTTTCAATACTTAAAGGCGTGTTAAACTAAGATTGGTGGTTAAACTAAAAGTGATTTTTGACACAATAAAACATAAACCAATATATTCCAAGTAACTAATGCATGATATTATAAATGCAAGTATGGAGCAAAAGATCCATTTACTGTGCAAGAAAGATCAATGAGTACTGATGGAATAAATTTATTAATATGTAAAATGCCACCGTAACTAATTTAAGAAACCACCACTTGTGAAGTTTTGATTTAGTGTTAACAAATACCCACAACTGTCTGAAAACTTTAAAAATACACCTTCTACCAACTACATATTTGCATGAGGTTAGGTCATCTTATTGCTTCTTTTTTTCTTTTTTTGAGACACAGTCTCTCTCTGTCACCCAGGCTGCGGTGCAATGGCGAGATCTCGGCTCACTGCAACCTCCACCTCCCAGGCTCAAGCGATTCTCCTGCCTCAGCCTCCCAAGTAACTGGGACTACAGGCGTGCACCACCATGCCCAGCCATTTTTTGTACTTTCAGTAGAGGCTGGTTTTACCATGTTGGTCGGGCTGGTCTCAAACTCCTGACCTCAAGTGATCCACCCACCTCAGCCTCCCAAAATGCTGGGATTACAGGTGTGAACCACTGCGCCCCACCAGCTTATTGCTTTTTTTGTTTGTTTGTTTAGACAGAGTCTTGCTCTGTCACCCAGGCTGCAGTGCAATGGCACGATCTCAGCTCTCTGCAACCTCCGCCTCCCAAGTTCAAGTGGTTCTCCTAACTCAGCCTCCAGAATAGGTGGGACTACAGGTGCGTGTCACCACGCCCAGCTAAGTTTTTGTATTTTTAGTAGAGACGGGGTTTCGCCGTGTTAGCCAGGATGGTCTCGATCTCCTGACCTTGTGATCCACCCGCCTCAGCCTCCCAAAGTGCTGGGATTACAGGCATGAGCCACCGTGCCCAGCCTCTTATTGCTTCTTTAAAGCAAATTGCAAATAAAGCTCTAGAGAATCCATTTGTCTCCTATTAAGCTCAACATGAGAGACTTTAAATAATATAAATACATGACACACTTTTTACTCAACTTTTTGTTGTAGAAAAGTTATTTTTCAATGAAAAATTTCTGTTAACAATACTGTTCTCAAGGAATATTTTCTGTTGTTATAACCTGGGTCATGGGTTACTACTGACATCTAGTTGGTAGAGGCCATGAATACTGCTAAACTCTCTGCAATGCACAAGACAGTCCTCACAACAAAGCATTATCTAGCACATAATATCAACAGTGGTAAGGCTGTGAAATCTAAACTAAAAATAGATTTTGAAAAACTTTCAAATGTATAATTCTACCACACTAAATATCAATATAATCAATATAAACACATACTCTTTGAGATTCTCAATCATTTAAGAATTATGAGAGTCTTAAGGAACAAAGAAAATACAAATAATTTGCTTCGATATTTTAGTAGACACAATACAGCTTATGATGTCTAGAGCTGTGACCTAACACTGAGCTTGATATCTTGCAAAGTAATTAGCTAGAATAACAAGACAGGTTTCTAAAAAGCTCACCTTTCCGTGATATGATGATGTATCTCCAAGGTCACACTGTGGAAGGAAAAAAAATTCATAACAATAGATGTTATCATTTGTTAGGCCTGAAGACATTTTTTAAAAGGGGGGCAGAGGAAACTCTCCTAGCGGCCCTGAAATTCAAATCTTCTAGTTCAGAACAGTACCATAAGCGCACTTTGTTTTCATTTCTTTGTTTTTTACAAAAATATGAGAACCAAAATGCAAGGAAAATGCTGTTAGAAGATGCGTTTCTGTTGGTGATTACAATATATAAATAATAACAGATTTCCCTGTTATATGCTTTTCTACCCACGAAACCTTTCGTCCCATGCGATTTATTTTATGTATTTATTTATTTTTTGACCCAGAGTCTGTCTCTCTTGCTCAGACTGGACTGCAGTGATGCCATCTTGACTCCTCACAACCTCCACCACACAGGTTCAAGCGATTCTCATGCCTCAGCCTCCCAAGAAGCTGGGACTACAAGTTTGCGCCACTATGTCCAGATAATTTTTTTTTTTGGCGGGGGGGTGTGGATGGAGTTTCGCTCTTGTTGCCCAGGCTGGAGTGCAATGGTGTGATCTCGGCTCACCACAACCTCTGCCTCCCGGGTTCAAGAGATTCTCCTGCCTCAGCCTCCCAAGTGGCTGGGATTACAGGCATGTGCCACCACGCCCAGCTAATTTTGTAGAGTGAGGCTCAAAACAACTGAGGGAAGGCAAATCTCAATTCTACTAATAGGTCTACACAATATTAGCACTTTTTAAAAAGCCTGTAACATTAGCATGTAAGATGGATATGTCTATAGTGCTTCAAGTAGTTTTCATCTCTGAAATAATTTTAAAATCACAGAATTTAAAGTTACATGCTGGAAAGGACCAGTGACCTTATGTGACATTTAATTCAACACTCGTTTTACAGATCAGGGAAACAAACCTTAAAACTGACTTGCCCAAGGTCCCACCAAATAGGAGCAGTTTCTCGTCCTAAACTCAAATTAAGCAGTGGCTCTCAAACTTCGCTGCACATTAAAATCGCCTGAGAAGCTTTAATATCTGCCTCATCTTCAACATGAGACATTTTAATTTAATTAGTATTGGGTATGGCTTTGGGCATCAAGGTTCTTGGTAAACGTTTCCCAGGTGATTTCAATCAGCAGCAAAGTTTGGAATGATTGAGCTGTGGTGAAAATCAGAATCTTCTGGGATGCTTTTCTTCACAGAAAGATGCCTCACATCCATCCTGATTTTCCTAAAAGGCTTCTCAGTGCCTAGAGATAGAGGGAAAGTGGAGATGGGAAGATACATGTGTTTGCAGACTTGTATTTTGAAAAAACCTTGCATAAGTGATCTCAGTGAGTTCCACCTATCCCACTGACAACAGTGCACTACTGATTCATGATAAAACATTTTTCAAAATATCTTCTTGAAGCCAATTTGCCCTATTAATTTGTTCAATAACTTTATTTCACCAATAGTGAATACACCAAATGATTATTTCTCAAACTCGCTGGTGGCAAATTAAAACTTACTATACTCTCAAAAGTAGACTTCTAAAAAGTAGAATAATTAGGAAAAAAGCACGAAATTTGTTTCAGCAAAATTAATCTTCAAAGCTGCTTTTGAATTATGTGCTAACATATCAAAATCTTTGGAACTCAGAAGAAGCCAGGGACTCTAGTCAAAGTAATTTTTGTGTATGTGTGCTCAAAGATTTAAGAGACTTGGCTGACTACAGACATTTAGTGATTACTCAATAGGTCCCAAAGCTCAGGACTTGAGACAGAGTTTGAGTCCAGTTTTTGTTCGAAACACAATTTCCTCTCAACTATTGTTAAAAGGGAGGGAGGAAAGTGACATTATTATGAGTGTAAACTTGCCACTTTTAATTGAAGTAAAAGTTATTGACAATTGAATTAGCTAAAAAGGCTAGTGCATTTGAAACAAAATTGTTTATAAGCTAGTTATGTTTACAGAATGAAAAGTTAAATTAGAGATAAAGACATTAATATTCTAAATTAGCACTTTCCAAACTGTGTTCTAAAAATCAAGACTAATAACCCAAGGAGATGAGAATAATGTACACTGGACAGCCCCTGTGGAGCTGGTGGTGGTGTTGGTTATTGTTCCTTTTAAAATAAACTTCATCTCAGGGTGCTCTCAAAGCACATCTTTGTGGCCCATGAGGTGCTCATGCACAATGGGAGAAATTCAAATGCAGATACACTGTGGTGCCAGAAGAAGAAAAGCTGTTCCTTCTCCCAAGGATAATGTCCAAAGTAGTGCACACTGATTTAGGCCTATGATGCACTGAAAAACTAAGTTTTCACAAAAAACATTCAATAAAGGGAACCTATCCTTCTCACTGTGTTCAACATTGTCTAAAGGCATAAAGGCATCAAACAGATACACTGTTTCTGGGATTGCTTCTTTGCTAACTGATTTTTCCTTCCACCACGACGTCTAAGATTAAAAGAGAAACTGATACTTAATATTGAGAATCTGGATATCAATATATGGTTGACTCCAATTTCTCAAACTGATTGCTGAAGAGGACAACCAAATGGCTGAAATAATTTTAGAATAAAGGAATCTGTTCCTCGGCAGTATAGTTGTACTCACGATATTATTGTCATTATAAGATAATGCTGGCTGGCTGTGCTGCCATCAAGGAATATTGTCGAACACGAGCTGTATTGTTGACTGAAACGCTCAGTAGATACCTGAAGGGGAAGGGAAGTGTAAGTCAAACTTATCAAAGTATATTTTTTTCTCAGTTAAAATGTCAAATGACAAAGCACTAAGATATGTCTTACACTCCATGAACTGCCTGAGTGTGGTATCATGTGCACTCTATAGAAAACCCATTGGAGGCTCTCAACTTCCAGAGATGATGTTTAAGATATGGGTTATAAAATGCTGCCCTTAATATGGTACCTGTCATCAAACCTAACAAGGATTTTATGAATTACCGTTAAAAATAATGGGAAAAGTCAGCTTCGCCGGGCGTGGTGGCTCACACCTGTAATCCTAGCACTTTGGGAGGTGGAGGCGGGCGGATCACGAGGTCAGGAGATCGAGACCATCCTGGTTAACATGGTGAAACCCCATCTCTACTAAAAATACAAAAAATTAGCCGGGCGTGGTAGCAGGCCCCTGTAGTCCCAGTTACTCGGGAGGCTGAAACAGGAGAATGGGGTGAACCCAGGAGGCGGAGCTTGCAGTGAGCCGAGTTCGCGCCACTGCACTCCAGGCCGGGAGACAAAGTGAGACTCTGTCTCAAAAAAAAAAAAAAAAAAAGAAAAGTTTAAAATAAGATTTCATTTTTTTTTCTACAGCTATAAAAAGCAGCCGAGAATTTCTATTATTTAATTAATTAATTTATTTATTTTTGGGGAACATCACACACCAGCGCCTGTCGTGGGGTGGGGGAGTGGGGAGGGATAGCACTGGGAGATATATTTAATGTAAATCTCGAGTTGACAGGTGCAGCACACCAACACGGCACATGTATACATATGTAACAAACCTGCACATTGTGCACATGTACCCTAGAACTTAAAGTATAATAATAAAAAAAAGAAAGAAACATCCAAATGCATGCTTTGTAAAGAGCATGACTCATGGGGTCAGTCACCAATAACAAAACAAAAAAAAAACGATGCACAGTCCAAGGGCTTAACCCATGACCATAAAGAAGAGTATTGTGCCACACTGGAACAGTGCTCCTCTAGCTATAAGACAAAAGGTCAGAGAAGAGGGGATTCAATAACACCTTTACAGGCCTACACATAGCTGGCTTACTTTTAAAACCTCCACCAAAGCCATCTTCCCTTGTTTGGTCATTTTTCAGTTTTCCTGAGAAAAGAAGCCATCCCAAGAATCCTATGTGTGATTCTAGTATGTTCTACAACAAGAGAATACCTGGCATGTGAATTTGGCTTTTATTTTTCAAGTGTGCTCCTCTTAAATAACCATAAAGTGACACCTGCCAGTCACATTTTGTTCAGATATCCTCTGGGTTTTTCAAATCTTCCATCCTAGAAAAATAAACTCAATCATACAGCAGAAATGAATGCCAAAGTTCCTATACGTCCTTTCATGTGTCAATGACTCATCACACTCTTGTCCACTAAGCATGTCGTTTAGAAAACTAGAAAATACAGAAATAAGGAAGCACCATTCACCACCCACCAGAGGAAAAGGGGCAGGCACACAACTGTGTCTCTAGGCTGAAAGTGACATTCATTCCGTAAGACACCAGACAGGGAGATGACGTCCACCTGGGGTCAGGGAAGAGTGAAGAACATATTCAGAAAATCCCTTTCTGGAAGAGGGTGAGCCTGTGCTCTGGGATTTGTACTGTGGCTTGGATTCTGGCAGGTGGAAAAAGGGTATTCCAGGCTGAGAAAACCACAGCACAAAGAAGAGCACAAAGGAAGGAAACTGAAGGCACACATAAAGGACTCAAGCACCCGGGCACGAAGGCAGCATCACTGAAAACTGAGGCTGAACATAGGATGGGGCCATATCCTGTAGCTTTAAATGCTTCCAAGTCCTCCCATTTTCCTAAACATCTCATAATTAATTTACTCCCAAAGGCACAGCATCTTTGAGCAATGATATAAGTAGACATTTTCCATCAACTACACTTCTACCCCCACTATTCAAATAGGCACAAAATAAATCCTATCACTGTTCTTTTTCTAGCCTTTTTAGCTTTGAAATATATGGTCTAGGAAATAAAAGCTTACAATCACTTTTTACCTGTCTGCCAGGATATAAGGATGAGACGTCTGCCATGTGAGAGGCCTAAACTTCATAACTGTAATAAAATGGCCCAGATTGTGGATTTCTTGGTCTTGATATTCTCCATGCACCATTCCAGAAAGGTAGAACAGCTTGGCAACCTAAACATTAAAGGAAAATTAAAAATTAAATTTCAATTAAATTCTCGTCAATACTGCAACAAAATAAAAGCTCTAAACAAGAAGCAATCCTAAGAAGGGAGACTTCCAGCAAAGCCACTGTCCTGAGGCTTCCAGAGCCTTGCTGGCTTCTTTTAGGACTTATTAGAACCACACAGAGGCAGACTGCTCTGCAGCCGAGCAGGGGCATCCATCTAAGTATGGTGAGGAGAGGGAGGTGAGGCCTCTGAGCACAGAAACGGTTCTGTGGCCGATGGACCACAGCAGTATGGAAAGGAAGGGGCAGTGCCTCGTCCTGTAACTGGGAGAAACTTCTGATGTACTCTATTAAGTCCCGACCCCAAAACAGCCAGACACTGCCTGGTGCAGCAGGTACAGAGACAAATGAGATACACTAAGAGGCCCAGAATAACCACTCTCTTGAGGGAAACTTTCCAGAGACTGGGAAAACATACACAAAGGGAATTCAGGAGGCAAATCCTAGAGAGACGTTTAGTAATGTCTCTTCAGTTTTTTGTTTGTTTGTTTTTTGAGACGGAGTCTCACTCTGTCACCCAGGCTGGAGTGCAGTGGCACAATCTCAGCTCCCTGCACCCTCTGCCTCGCAGGTTCAAGTAATTCTCACATCTCAGCCTCCAGAGTAGCTGGGATTACATGCACCGCCACCACACCCGACTAATTTTTGCATTTTTAGTATAGACGGGGTTTGGCCATATTGCCCTGAGCTCGAAACTCCTGGCCTCAAGTGATCTGCCCACCTCTGCTTCCCAAAGTGCTGGGATTACGGGCATGTGCCACTGTGCCTGGCCTCTTTAGTCTGTTTTTAAAGGATTATACTGTTAGTATCTAACAATTATTTCTCTTCCTACCAGGTAAACTTCTGTCCAGAACCTGTGTTTTAATTGCTTGTCTTCTTCAGTTGCCTATTATACTTGAAGGAGTCGAGGTGAGTGAGAACTCCCATAATTTTAGGAAAGCCACGTACTTGACCGATGTTGAGAAACTCAAAGGTTTCCATTTCGAACCCAAAGCTGGCATCTATAAGCATCAGTACTTAAAAGCAGGACACATCATTTCTCGAAGAAACTACCAAAACAGACCACCTACACTAGGGGTTGGCAACTGGCCCACGGGCCAAATCCAGCCCATCGCCTGTGTTTGTAACTCAAGTTTTATTGGAACATAGCCACATTAATTCATTTACATATCATCTATGGCTGCCTGTGCACTACAACTGCAGAGCTAAGTAGCTGCAGAAGATATGATCCACAAAACCAACAATATTCACTACCTGGCCCTCAACAGAAAAGTCCCACTCCAGACTAAATCAAATGACTACACAGGCATCACCCAGAGAAACCACCACCCTCTGACTTGCTCTAAAAGGCAACCATAAGACAAGGCCACTAGGATATAAACATCCATTGTAAGAATTCTAATGCATGAGAAGTAACTCAGAAAAGGCTGGGTCTAACCTGGCCCTTACCTAAGAAACCCTAATTTAAAGAAATGAAGTTTTCTGTAAGGTATTTTTAAGCCAAATAATAGGTCTCTGACATCCAAAGAATGGGAAGAAAGTGATAATCAATGAAATATATTAAATATGTACAGAAAATCAACCTCTTGTTTCAATCTCCTCATAGAAAAAAAAAACCAATCTGTTTTTTGCTGGCAAGTATGTGGTGTACACCTCTATCTTATATGGTAATTTGCATAACTCAGTAGCTCAGAATTTTATTTTAAATAGCTACCGGTTTAGAATTAAGTCAAAAAACAGTAAGATTATGATGAATGGTACTCTATAAGAAAATATAAGCAGATAAGACCAATTTTTGTAATTTAAGACACTTCAAAGATGCAAAATAATTTCAGAATTGATTCCTGGAAACTTCTAGGTTTAATATTAAAGACATTTCTGTTCCTATCTTTCCATAGATAACTAAAAATAACAAAAAATGGAAACAGAAATGCCCACCTTTGATTAAACTAGGAAACATCCATAATCCGAAACCACAGAATATATGGTCAGCTTGTAAGAAAGCACAGCTGCCACTGCGGACCAAGGCAGCAAGCAGAGCTTTCCAGCAACACTGGACCAGCTCAAAGAACAGGTAGAATGTCCTCACACCACATCTGATGCCACAGAGTGCCAAGGGACAAGCAGCTGGTTGTAGGGTCAGGAAGAACAGGGAGCAAACAGTCCCTCAGCTGCCAATCTTTGTCATCGAAGCCAGTGTTACTCCCATAATCCACACATGTACACACATACACACCCAAATCCACATATTGTCTGTGCTTTTGCTGTACTCAGGAGGCTTTGACAACCCAGAGCAGAGCAATCAACATAAGCTAGGCTAAATAAATTATGGTGCGTCCACAGAATGGAATATTATATTAAAAAGAAGGAGGCAGAGCTACAGTACTTACTGATTATATACCTTCAAGATATATTACACGAAAAAAGCAAAGCATAGAACAGTGTGTAAAATAAGCTACCATTTGTGTTTTTAAACGGTGGCATGTGGGTTTATATGTATCTAGGAGGATACTGCTCTGCAGGGATCTGAGAGACCAGTGGTTAGAGCAAGGAATAAGAAAACGCACATCGTGTGTATCCTGCATTAGCTAGAGTGCTTTACTAAATGTGTGTGCTCCTTTTGAAAATCTTAAAAAGATTTACATAGGCATCTCTCTCAATGATGGTTAAGAGGCTGGGAAGGGGAGCAGGGAGGGAGGGACAAAGAGGGAAAGGTTAACAGGTACAAAAATACAGTTAGAATAAATTCTAGTGTCCAACAGCACACTAGGGTGACTATAATTTATTATATAATTCAGAATAACTAAAAGAATGAAATTGAAATGTTCCTAAAACAAGGAAATGATCAATGTTTGAAGTGATGGATATCCTAATTACCCTGATTTGATGATCACACACATAAAATATAAATATGTATAACTATTATGTATCCATAATAATTAAAAATAAAAAAGTAAAGGCATCTCTTAACATGTATGTCTTTAAAATTAGAAACTTGCTACACTTTAAATAAAAGAGAAACAAATGACTTCTATGAACTATTTCAAGTACACAAGATTTATACACAACTTTATATTAATAATAACACTTATTTTTACTAATAGCATTATAGATTCAAAATTTGAGGTTATCTAGTTTTCTGACATTACAATGGCACAACTTTAAAATCTGTATTACTTTTCACTTTATATTTTATGGGTCTTCCTGGGCCAAAGTATAAAAACTGTAGCTCTAGAAAAAACTAGATAAAAGACCAGGCGCGGTGGCTCAGGCCTGTAATCCCAGCACATTGGGAGGCTGAGGCAGGCGGATCACCTGAGGTCAGGAGTTCAAGACCAGCCTGGCCAACATGGTGAAACCCCGTCTCCAATAAAAACAAAACAAAACGAAAAATATATAAAAATGAAAAAAATAAGGTATCTGTCACCCCACACTTCCTAATCAATAAGGCTTATTTTTTTTGCTTTTTTTTTTTTTTTTTTGATGGAGTTTTGCTCTTGTTGCCCAGGCTGGAGTGCAATAGCGGAATCTCGGCTCACCACAATCTCTGCCTCCCAGGTTCAAGCAATTCTCCTGCCTCAGCCTCCTAAGTAGCTGGGATTACAGGCATGCGCCACCTCGCCTGGCTAATTTTGTATTTTTAGTAGAGACAGGGTTTCTCCATGTTGGTCAGGCTGGTCTCGAACTCCTGACCTCAGGTGATCCGCCACTTCAGTCTGCTAAAGTGCTGGGATTACAGCTGTGAGCCACAGTGCCCGGACTTTCTTTTTTTTTTTTTTGCCAATTTGTATTTTATTTTTGCTAATTTAAAAAATAGTTAATAGAATATCAGAAATACTGAACATTATCATTTCCATAAATGCAAGAGTGTATACATTTTCCACACACTGAGTACTAGCTAGATTTTCTATGATAAACTCTGACCACTTCTTCAGGCAATTCATGTACTTACTTCAGCATTATCATTAATGATGAAGGTTCTAGAACCATCATGAACAAGGGTCCCATCTTCACACAAGTTACTTAACTGCTGGGAGGCTCTATTTCATCTTATGTAAACTACAGATAATACCTACTCACCTCAAGGGTATATCAAGAGTTTATGTAAGCTAAGTTTGTAGAAAGTAGTTAGCACAGTGCCAGGAAGGGTCCAAGAAGAAATGGTACTTACTATGAAATATTTGTACGTATATATGTATGCATGTTAATGAGCTCTTATTAGCTGTGTTCATTAAAGGTTTTCTCTATCCTGTGATTTGCTTTTAGATTTTGGAATACATTTCATTGTGCACATTCCATTTGTATTATTAATATAACAATATTTATTACTATTATTATCATCATCAATTCAATCACATCTACTGTATCCCTGATGATGACCATGATTCCTTTAATAATCATAAAACTCTCTTCCCTTCATCACGGGGTAAATAACCTATCACAATGCTGTAAGTCTCCATCAGCACCCCAGGCTGCCCCTGCTGACTTACCAGATCTGCTACTTCAGCCAGATCAATCATCATGTTAATGTCACACCCACATTCAATAATGGTGAGTCGGAGCTTTTTACCTGTAAGTGAAAAAGATAAAAATTTTACTTTAAAAAGACCCTGAAAACACTCTAAGCATCAACTTTAACTTTCATTTTTTAACTGCATCCAGTAAAACACCATATACGTTTATAGGAGTGTACCAGAAGTTCATTTTTATAGGCAAAAACTGGTAAAATAAAATAAATTCCATCCTGTTTTTCTTGCTGTGTCCTAAATTTAAATAATATCAAAAGTCTACCCAGATGAATACAAGTGCAAAAACAGAGAAAACTCTGACTGGACAGGCTCCATGATAACCATGATCCTGCTATTCAGCTACAGGCCAATGTCTTCGCCTCTATCAAAACTTCCCATATTCCCACTATAGCTAAAAACATCCTCAAACATTATGCAACAGAATATTCATAACAATAATTATTTCTAAATTAAGGTAAAAAGAAAACAGTCAAGAAAATATGGGCTGGGCACAGTGGCTCATGCCTGTAGTCCCAGCACCTTGGGAGGCCAAGGCAGACAGATCCCTTGAGCCTAGGAGTTTTGAGACCACCCTGTGCCACATGGGGAAACCCCATCTCTACAAAAAAAAAAAAAGAAAGAAAAAAAAAGAAAAATTAGCCAGGTATGGTGGCATACATTACTCAGGAGGCTAAAGTAGGAGGATTGCTTAAGCCTGGGAAGTTGAGGCTGCAGTGAACTGTAATCACGCCACTGCATTCCAGCCTGTGCCACAGAATAAGACCCTGTCTCAAAAAAAGGAAAAGAAAATATGGATGCTCCAAAGATAAAGAAAAGCCTCAATCCAACTATATTATTGCAATAACAAGAGGTTTCAGAGTGTACATTGCCATTCTACCACTGGAAGTTTGTTTCATCTTCTCTCAAACTTGGAAAGGTCGCCATCTCCCAAAGCAGACAAATTCTCACAGGAAAAAGAGAAAACGCGCACTTCCACCAGCATGTGGCTTCATAAGGGCAAGCATGTGCACCTGGCACATAGGAGGTACATGCTATTTGTTAAATGATATGTTCACAGTGACCAGGCCTGCTACGCCCTTCCAAGCAACATGCTTGGCAAAGCCATACAGCAGTCAGGATAAGATATGTATCACATCCTTATCTCTGGGAACTTACCCTTTTCTGAAGTTATAGCTAACTTAGTAAAAGTATAAGAGAGTTAACATGATATGACAAAATTTAACATGTTCCACTCAAGAAAACAGAAAACACATGCATCTCCCTCAGATGACAACAGCCAGGCCAACTCTGTGGCTGTGGTGGCATCTCCTACCTGACACGATCATCACAGGGCCTCTGATCTCGGTCAACTTCTGCTGGGTGAAGTTCCCAATGAGGCATTATATCAAAGTGCTCTTTCCAACTTTTGGAGGCCCCGTCACCACTATCACTATTGGTGGCGGCTCTAGTGGAGTCTGATCAACCACTGGAATATGATGCTTTTTTGTCTTCAAATCCTGAGTCCTATTCATTAAAAAAAAAAGTAAACTCATTTTCAAAATAGAGTAAAAGGTATCAACCTTATAAGTAGACTTTTTTTAGTTTACTTATAGATATGAGTACTTTAGTATATTTTATAGAGAGTACAACAGACAATATAAAAATATAATTAACCTGTCAATTATTAATTTGTTAACTACTGGCCCCCATCCAAATAACTGCTGTTCAATAAAGATGTAGCAAGATGACTTCAATAGTATAAAGAGTTGAAAATTAAACACTCCTTAAATCTGACTGTTTTATGAGTGATTTTAATAGTTTTTTTAAAAACAAAAGGTAAATACCGAGGCAGTGCATCGTAACAGATAAGATCAGAGGCTCTGGAGTTAAATTTGGCTCTCCTACTTACTGGCTTTATGATTGGAGGTAACTTGTTTTCTTGACCTCAGTTTTCTTATCCATAAAATGAAGGCAAGAATGATTCCTACTCTGGTAAGGCTGCTGGAAGTATTTAGTTGAATAATGTTTAAAGTACACTGCTAGGCATATCACAAGGACTCACTAAAGCTATGTTAGCATTACAAATTGTAATTTTTGTATTTTATATTACAACTTTGTAAAACATATCTGGAGGGAAAAAGCACACTTATCACCATAGAAACAGTTTAAAGTTTAGGAAGAAACAAATTCCATAAATTCTTGTATCTTGGGCAAGAAACACCAACCAGTGTGCAGATGCTGGAGGCAAGACAGCTTCTATGGGAAGTCTTCTCATGTTTTAGTAAAAGCCACACATCATGCATCTCCATGTCCTTTGGAGTGTGACTAAACTTGTGAATCCAAATGTCACCTGTGAGATGCTCCTACTATTTAAAAAGAATCAATGGAAGAAGCATCAGACTGCAGCTATACATACCTGTGAAAGGATCAAGCCATCCCCACAGCAGACTGAATTGCAAAAGCTTTGGGATTTCTCTTCCAGACATCTTCTTCATCCCCTAGCTGGAGATCCTGCAGATGCTGCTTCTTTTTCTTTTCAGCTTTGGGCCCACTGTTTTTCTTCTGTAAAATTTCTTTCTGTGTTTCTTTTGGTCCTTAGTCTCCACAGTGGCTATTTACCAATAACAAGTAACTCTAACCTACAAGGAAGAAGGTTGGGGTAAGAAGGTGGGAGAAGCATTTTACAATCCAGCCAATACCCAAGGAAAAACAGTATATTTCATATATTTCATTATGAAGAGATGATGTATATGTTGATTCTTTGAGATTTTCTGCATAGACAATCATGCCATCTGTGAGCAAAGACAGTTTTATTTGTTCCTTTCTCATCTATATTTTTCCTTTCTTACCTTTTATTTTATTTTCTTATCACATTTGCTAGAACTTCCAGTATATTAAATAGGAGTGGTGAGGGTGACATTCTTGCCTTGTTTTAAATCTTAGGGGAAAGGCGTCTAGCTTCTCACCATGAAGTATTATGTTAGCTGCAGGGTTGCTGTTGTAGCTATTCTTTATCAAGTTAAGGAAATTCCCCTCTATTCCAAGTTTGCTGAGAGTTTTCATCATGAATGGGTGTTGGATATCACATACTTTTTCTTTATTTATTGATATGACCACGTGATTTTTCTTCTTTGATATGATGGATTACATTTATTGATTTTCAAATGTTGAACTAGCTTCACATACCTGGAATAAATCTCTCTTGTGATTTATAATTCTTTTTATATAATATTTCATTCAATTTGCCTATATATACACGTGTATATATATATATATACACACGTATATATATATATACACGTGTATATATATACACACGTATATATATATATACACGTGTATATATATACACACGTATATATATATACACGTGTATATATATACACACGTATATATATATACACGTGTATATATATACACACACGTATATATACACACGTATATATACACACATATATATACATATATATACATATACACGTATATATATATATATATATATGTGTGTGTGTGTATATATATATATTTTTTGAGATGGAGTCTTGCTCTGTCACCCAGGCTAGAGTGCAGTGGTGTGATCTTGGCTCGCTGCGACCTCTGCCTCCCGGATTCAAGTGATTCTCCTGCCTCAGCCTCTCAAGTAGCTGGGATTACAGGCACCCGCCACTGCGCTTGGCTAATTTTTGTATTTTTAGTAGAGACAGGGTTTCACCATCTTGGCCAGGCTGGTCTTGAACTCCTGACCTCAGGTGATCCACCCGCCTCAGCCTCCCAAAGTGCTGGGATTACAGGCATGAGCCACCACACCTAGCTATCAATTTGCCAATATTTTGTTGAGAATTTTGCTTCTCTGTTTATAAGAGATATTAGTCTATGGTTTTCCTTTCTTGTAATGTTTTTATCTGCTTTTGGTATTAGGGTTATGCTAGCCTTATAGAATGCATTAGAGAGTGTTCCTTCTACTTTTATGTTCTGAAAGAGATTGCAGAAAGTTGGTTCCATCTCTTCCTTAAATGATGAAATTCACCAGTGAAACCATCTGGGCCAAGTGCTTTCTGTTTTGGAAGATTATCAGTTTTTGATTTATTTAATAGGTACAGGTTTACTTAGATTACCTCCTTCTGTTTCTGTTCTCCTAACAGAACCCTGTGAAACCTGAAGAAATTACAGCACAAGGTACCTGTAAGGCACATGAGGTAACTGTGAGGTACAGGGAAGGTGGAAGACTGGGCAGTCAATGCAAAGGCAAGGGTAGGAAAATGCTTTTGAAAATAACATGAGATGATACAGAAACTTCACTATGAAGGACAGAAGATCAAGTTGACAGTCCATTTGAGGAGCACTCCACCTTTAAGAACCCTCCCTCATCCTATGCAGCCAGACAACGAAACCTTCCACTAGCAGAAACAAATGGAAGGTTTATCTTTTAGAGAAATTAAACCACAGTAGCCCTGAGCCCAGGGACACTGGGCTCACAGGCACACATACGGATAGGCTACAGTATCCTCCCCAAACAGGGTTTTAAAGTGAGTTCTACATACACTGACAGGCACAATTATCAAGCCTCTGCTTCCATTCAGCTTCCATAACAGTTGCAGTCAAATGTGTGGCCCTTAGCAGAAAACTAAGTCATTTTCATGAGAAGAAAGCTGACCAGCTCACCAAAAAGACTCACGAAAACCTAAAAGAAATAGATAAATTCCTAGATACACACAACCTACCAAGATTGAAACACGAAAAGCTTCAAAACCTGAACCGACCAATAACAAATAACGGGATCAAAGCCTTAATAAAAAGTACCAACAAAGAAAATCCTAAAAACAATAGCTTCACTGCTGTATTTTACCGAATATTTACAGAAGAACTAATACCAATCCGACTCAAACTATTCCAAAAAATAGAGGAGGGAGGAGTATTTCGATGGCTGATACTTAAACCAAAGACACATTAAAAAAGAAAACTACAGGCCAATATCCCTAAGGAAAACTGATGCAAAAATCCTCAAGAAAATTTACAAGCAAAACAAATTCCACAACATATTAAAAAATTATTCATAATGACCAAGTGGAATTTATCCCAGGAATAGAAGGATGGTTCAACATATGCAAATCAAGGTGATCATATCAACAGAATGAAGGACAAAAATTATATAATCATGTCAACTGATGCTGTAAAAGCATTTGATAAAATTCAACATTTTATTGTGAAAATGCTTAAAAAACAGGGTATAGAAGAAGCACACCTCAACACAATAAAACCCATATAAGACACACCCATTAAGTAGTATCTTACTGAATGGGAAAAAAAACGAAAGCCTTTCCTCTAAGATCTAGAACAAGAGATGCCCACTTTCACCACTGTTAATTCAGTATTAATTGAGCTTTTTCTGGAAGTACTGGAAGTCGTAGCTAGAGCAATCAGACAAGAGAAGGAAATAAAACGCATCCAAATTGGAAATAAATCAAATTATAATTATTTGCAGACAATCTCTTATAATTAGAAACACCTAAAGACTCCAAAAAACTATTAGAACTGATAAACAAATTCAAGAAATTTGCAGGATACGTAATCAACATAAAAAAATCAGTATCGTTTTTATATGTGAACATCAAACATTTTGAAAAAAGCTAAGAAAGCAATCCCATTTACAATAGCTACAAATAAAATGAGGAATAAACTTAATCAAAGAAATGAATGATTGCTACAATGAAAACTATAAAATACTGATGCAAGAAATTGAAGAGGGCACCAAAAATGGAAAGATATTCCACCTTCATGGACTGGAGGAATCAATATTGTTGAAATGTCAATATAACTCAAAGAAAGCTACAGGTTAAATGCAACCCCTATCAAAATATCAATGACATTCTTCACAAAAATAGAATAATTCTAAAATCTATATGGAACCACAAAAAGTCCAGAATAGCCAAAGCTATCCTGAGCATAGAGAAATAAACTGGAAGGATCAGATTACCTGACTTCAAATTATACCATAGACCTATAGTAACCCAAACGACATGCTACTGGCATAAAAACAGACACAGAGGCCAATGAAACACAATAAAGAATCCAAAAGAAATCCATCCATCTACAGTGAGCTCATTTTCAATAAAGGTGCCAAGAACATAAATTGGAGAAAGGACAATCTCTTCTATAAATAGTGCTGCAAAAACAGGATATCCATATGCAGAGGAATGAAACAAGACTCCTATCTCTCATCATATATAAAAACCAAACCAAAACAAATTAAAGACTTAAATCTGAGACCTCAAACTATGAAACTACTACAAGAAAACATTGGGGAAATTCTCCAGGACATTAAACTGGGAAAAGATTTCTTAAGCAATACCCTACAAGCACAGACAACCAAAGCAAAAGTGGACAAACGGGATCCCATTAAGTTAAAAAGCTTCCTGCACAGCAGAAGAAACAATCAACAAAGAGAAAATCCACAAAATGGGGAAACATATTTGCAAACTATCCATTTGATAAGGGATTAATAACCAGAATATATAAAAAGCTCAAACAACTGTATAGAGAAAAATCTAATAATCTGATTTTAAAATGGGCAAAAGATCTTAATAGACGTTTCTCAAAAGAAAAAATACAAAAGGCTAACAGACTTAGGAAAAGGTGATCAACATCACTGATTATCAGAGAAATGCAAATCAGAACTATGAGGAAATATCATCTCATCCCAGTTAAAATGGCTTTTATTCAAAAGACAGGCAATAACAAATGCTGGTGAGGATATGGAAAAAAAGCAAACCCTTGCATACTGTTGGTGGGAATGTAAATTAGTGCAACCACTATGGAGAACAATTTGGAGGTTCCTCAAAAAACTAAAAATAGAGCTACCATAGGATCCAGAAATCTCATTGTTAGACATATACATGAAAAAGAAAATCAATATATCAAAGACATAGCTGCACTCCTATGTTTACTGCATTACTAATTCACAATATCCAAGATGTGGAAGCAACCTAAGTGTCCATCAACAGATGAATGAACAAAGAAAATGTGCATATATACAATGGAGTACTATTCAGCCATAACAGAGAATGAGATTCTGTCATTAGTGACAACACAGAACGGTGCTGGAGGATATTAAGTTAAATAAGCCAGCCACAGAAAGATAAACTTTGCACATTCACACTCATTTTGGGGAGCTAAACATTAAAACAAACTCACAAAGATAGAGTAGAATGGTTGTTACTTGAGGCTGGGAAATATAGTTGGTGGGGGGAAATGAGGATAGTAAATAGGTACAAAATATAGTTACAATAAATAAGATCTACTAATTGGTAGCATAACAGGGTAACTATAGTCAGCAATAGTTTTTTGTACATTTTAAAATAACTGCATATAACTGAATTATTTATAATACAGAGAAATGATAAATGTTTGAGATAATGGATATCCCATTTACCTTGATGTGATTATTATGCATTATATGTTTGTATCAAAATATCTCATGTCCCCCATAAATATGTATACCTACTATGTACCCGTAAAAACTAAAAAGAACTATAAACACTGATGTCTGGGGATCCCCTAATACAATAGCGGGTTCTGGCTGATCATCCCACAGGGAAGCCACTCGGCAGCCACACAGTTCCCCATACACACACACCGCTAGTAATCAGCTTTGTTAGTGTATAAACCTTAAACTATGTGCAGACAATATCACAAGTCATAAGGGAAATGGAAAGCAAGACCACAAGGAGGTACAACTTCACACCCATTAAAATGGCTATTATAATGCAAACAAACAAAAGATGGAACATAACAAGTGTTGACAAGGATATGGAGAAAACGAAACCTTTGTGCATTACTAATAGTAGTGTAAAGTGGTGGTCTGCTCTAGAGAGCAGCATGGTGGTTCCTCAAAAAGTTGAACACAGAATTATGGTATGACCCAGTAATTCCATTTTGAGGTATATAGCCCCAAGAATTAAATGCAGGGACCCAAAAAGATATTTGTATAGCAATGTTCACAGCAGCGTTACTCACAGTAGCTGGAAGGTGGAAGCAACACCATACCCACCGGTAGATGAATAGATAAACAAATGTGATATATGCACGCAATGGAATATTATTAGAATATTATTCCTTTTTAAAGGAAGGAGATTCTGACGCATTCCACAATGTGGATGAACAATGAAACCTTGAATACCTTATGCTACGGGAAATAAGCCAAACACAAAAAGACAATTCTGTATGATTCCACTTATCTGAGGTACCTAAGATAGGCAAAGTCATAGAGGCAGAAAGTAGAATGGTGGTTAACAGGGACTGGAAGACGACTGGAGTTAGGAATTACTGTTTAACAGGTACAGAGCTTCACATGAAAAAGTTGTAGAATGGAATGGTGGAAATCATTGCAAAACATTATGAATACAGTTAAAGCAACTGAATTGTACACTTAAAATAGTTAATATGATACATTTTATGTTACATGTATTTTGCCCAGTGAAAAAATAAAAATATATAAGCACACAGCAAATGATCACCAGGCCTTTGAAGAAAGCCTATAAAATAAAATTAAGAAACCAAAACACCAGGCGGCAATGGGGAGAATCGAAGAGGTGGGCAGAGAAAACAGAATGCAAGGGCAAGGTCAAGAGAACACTTTTGACAACTGAAAAGTGAGAGCATATGAAAATGTCGCCAGAGGCCGGGCGCGGTGGCTCACGCTTGTAATCCCAGCACTTTGGGAGGCCGAGGCGGGCAGATCACGAGGTCAGGAGATCGAGACCATCCTGGCTAACATGGTGAAACCCCGTCTCTACTAAAAATACAAAAAAATTAGCCGGGCGTGATGGCGGGCGCCTGTAGTCCCAGCTACTCGGGAGGCTGAGGCAGGAGAATGGCGTGAACCCTGGAGGCGGAGCTTGCAGTGAGCCGAGATTGCGCCACTGTACTCCCGCCTGGGCCACAGAGCGAGACTTCGTCTCAAAAAAAAAAAAAAAAAAAAAAAAAGAAAATGTCGCCAGAAAGATAGAAAATCAAGGTGAATTAGATACCAGAAAATTAAACACAAAATACAAAAAATGAGAGAGGAAGATGACAAAAATTAGATCAACTCAAGAGGTTCAATATCTAACAAGAGACTCAGAAGAAACAGGGAAGCTGGAGGGGAAGAAAATTATTATAGAAACAACAGAAAGACATTCCCAAGAATTAACAAGAAAAACAGACATGTACCACTACGGGTTCATTAAATGCACAAATTAAAAAAAAAAAAAAGCCTACCCCATAATTGCAACAGTATATGCTAAGGATATGCAGAAAATTTTAAATGCTTCTACAGGGGGTAAAGCCAGAGTAGGGCAGGATGGGGGAGAGACAGGTCACACACATAAACATATTATTTTGAAATCTAAAAAGAGATTTTTTTAAAAGTAAAAATTGTTGAAGTTGGCTGCATCTGGAGAGTAAGTAGGAAGTACTGAATCAAGAGCAGTCTGTTTTTTGTGAAGTCTTATACTACCATTGGACTTCTAAAACCATGTTTCTTTAAATTTTATCCTGGTTCTCTTTCAAAGTAATGTATACACAACTTGTATTTACATGTAAAAATATGCAGGTGAGAAATGCTAATATAAAATTATTCCAAAGCCTTTTCTAAAGTGTCAAGAAGTGCTAGGATTTACTTAGCAGAAATCACCTGAGGATGAATTCCTTGTCAATTCCGGGAAGTGACTGCCAGAGAAAGGGAAAACAGAGTGGTCACAAAACTGTGATCAAAAGACAGTCTGACACATGAAAAAATGCTCATCATCACTGGCCATCAGAGAAATGCAAATCAAAACCACAATGAGATACCATCTCACACCAGTTAGAATGGCAATCATTAAAAAGTCAGGAAACAGCAGGTGCTGGAGAGGATGTGGAGAAATAGGAACACTCTTACACTGTTGGTGGGACTGTAAACTAGTTCAATCATTGTGGAAGACAGTGTGGCGATTCCTCAAGGATCTAGAACTGGAAATACCATTTGACCCAGCCATCCTACTACTGGGTATATACCCAAAGGATTATAAATCATGCTGCTATAAAGACACATGCACACGTATGTTTACTGCGGCACTATTCACAATAGCAAAGACTTGGAACCAACCCAGATGTCCATCAATGATAGACTGGATTAAAAAAATGTGGCACATATACACCATGGAATACTATGCAGCCATAAAAAGGATGAGTTCATGTCCTTTGTAGGGACATGGATGAAGCTGGAAACCATCATTCTGAGCAAACTATCGCAAGGAGAGAAAAACCAAACACCTCATGTTCTCACTCATAGGTGGGAACTGAACAAAGAACACTTGGACACAGGATGGAGAACACCAGGGCCTGTCGTGGGGTGGGTGAGGGGGAGGGATAGCATTAGGAGATATACCTAATGTAAATGATGAGTTAATGGGTGCAGCACACCAACATGGCACATGTATACATATGTAACAAACCTGCACGTTGTATACATGTAACCTACAACTTAAAGTATAATAAATAAATAAATACAGTTAATGAGTTAGATCTATGATACCAAATTAAATTCTTGACCTTAGTATTACAAATATTTTATGACAGTTTTAAGAAAGCTTAGAAAAATCTGCTAGCATATATTAAAAAAAAAGTTGGATCAAAACATACACTAAGAAATTAATAATTGCTAGATAGAAAACACAAATGTGCAGATTCCCTGGGATTTCTCATTAGGTTAATATTTGCAAAAGTAAATCATGTTTTAACTGTTCAGTTTCCTTTGGGACCCATTTAGTTTTAAAAACATTCAATATGAACGAAATACCTAAATCTATTATAAATATTCTATCAAAACATCAGAAAGTCAAGATAATTTGACTCAATAGCTAAAAATAAACTCATTTTGTAGAAAGAATGCAAGTAAAATGTTCAATAAGTGATAAATACACTTACCACAGGTTATTTGAGCAATGCTATACTTCTTGTAGTTCATGGCAGTCTATGTAAGAGTCCTAGTCTTGTCAGAAAACAGGTATTTTACCTAAATAAAATAAACAAAAATGTAGTAGTCTGTTGTTTTTGACTCCATCTTGACTTGGATTAAGAAGGCGTATTCTGAAATAGCACAGAAAAACATGTGTATCTCCTGGATCACTATCACTATCACAATTAAGATGCATCTGAAAACAGCATGGGTCTGCTACAGATTATGTCACTTTCCAAGATGCAAAGTTTTACAGACTTAATACACAAAGCTCTCAACTCACAAAGGTGAAAAGATAACTGACTGAGTAGGTCAACAAGCAAACCATCTCAACAAGATTAAATGAATGCAAAACAGATGCACTCCAAATGCAAATGTGATGCGCAGATTATGTTACCTCTGGCCATACGTGCTAAAGAAGAGGGAGAGAACTCAATGCCCCGGAACAAGAAAGAAGTCCAGGCCAGGTTCTGGGCATTAACTAGTCATGTGGACTCTGAACACTCACCTCATCCTTCAGGGCCTCAATTTCCACATCTATGAAATAAAGGGTCTGGCCAAGAGACACATAACAGCCTTCTACATGTAACTGGAGAAATTGTGTCATGGATAGGTGAGGGAGGGTAATTAATGGAATTGCCTCTAGAGAGCGAATACTTAACAGAATTGCCTCCAGTTTCTCCATGGCTTTCTAAAGAGGGGTCAAGACTTGCTGGATGCCAGATGTCTTCCAGGGATCCCAGAGAATTGGTCTAGGGAGGCAGTGCTTTACTGTATTATAGAAGAGGAATTAATCACACTAATTGCTTACTCTGTACTTTTGCTTAACGATACAATATAAACAAATACAATGAGAATTAATTTTAAAGCAATCAAAAGGCCTTCAAGTTATCAAAGCTCCTGAAGATTCAAACATTACATCCATATATAGAATTATTACACTAGGGGCAATTAACGATTTGATTTATAGATGTTTTATATAGGTTTGACATGCAACAAATCTAGGGGTATAAAAATCAGTAAAATCTGCCTTCTAATAAACAGTGATTTCTGCCTTTTCTTAAAAAATAGTTATTGTATCAAAATAGTAAAAAATGAACATTTTAAAATAAAAAATGGCTGGGCGTGGTGGCTCATGCCTGTAATCCCAGCACTTTGGGAGGCCAAGGCAGGCGGATCATGAGGTCAGCAGCTTGAGACCAGCCTGGCTAATATGGTGAAACACCATCTCTACTAAAAATACAAAAATTAGCCGGGTGTGGTGGCGGATGCCTGCAGTCTCAGCTACTCGGGAGGCTGACGCAAAAGAATCACTTGAACCCAGGAGGCAGAGGTTGCAGTGAGCCAAGATGGCACCACTGCACTCCAGCCTGGGCGACAGAGCGAGACTCTGTCTCAAAAAAAAACATAAATAAATAAAAATAAAAAATAAAAAATTATCAAGATTGTCATTCTGCCTACTGAATTTTAACTTATCCTTAAAGTTCAAAAAAAAAAAAAAACTTCTTTCTCATGCAAACTTTCCCCATATCCCTAATTAGGATGAAGTATTGAAGCATCCTGGGTGATTCCTGAACACTTTGAATCCTTCAATTATTCAGGTCCAGTTTAATGGCACCTGATAACAATTACACACTGAGAACTGCGCTAAACTTGACAAAGGCGACCAAAGATCTTATACAGGGGCACACCTGTACCCTCACGTCGGCTCCAAAGTCTCCAGAGGGAAATGGACAGGACATGATGAATCAGCTCTCTTTTTACTGTATTATGCTTGGAAAGATTGTTATGGAAACATAGAAGACAGATAAATCAACTTTACCTGGAAAACTGGAAAAAGGTTCAAACCGGAGGCAAATTTAGATCAGTATGTACCAAGAACTCACTGATTCTTACAGGAGTAGGATATTACCAGACAGACAAGTGAAATGACAAAGCCATTCTAGAAATAGAGAAGGTAAGCAAAAGAACCGAGAAGTGGAAGTTGAAGGCCAGCTCGGGGTGCTATGTGACCAGAGCCTAGTCAGCAGTGGGAAGATTTGTACTCTATGCTAAGAACGTTCTCTGTAATGACAATCCACCCTGTTGCACTAAGAATTTAAGAGCATTTATATGCATATATACAATTCAAGGAAAGATAAAGAGAAAAATTTGCTATCACCTCTGTGTAAATTCGGAAAATGGTATCAAAGGAACAGCTTCACCTACATTTCTGTGTCTAGAAAGTTTTATTTTATTTAAAAATGTAGTCTACAAACTTGAGCCTCAATTTTTGGCAATAAACTCAAAAATGATACATAAACCATCACAGAATTCACTTTGTCCTTGCAGGAAAGAAAAAAGAAGAAAACAAACCTCCACACGAGAGGAAGTCTAAAGAATTCCCCAAACCTCCATGATTTTGCAGGAGACAAGATAAGGGTAATCACCTGCAGCACCTGGACCCATCTAGATAAAATAAATTTACTGAGGCTCCAGAGGAAGGTCTTCAGGACTCAGACCTTAGTTATAGATTAGAAGTTAATCAAAGGAAAGACGTTTAATTGATTCACAGTTCCACATGGCTGGGGAGGCCTCAGGAAACTTACAATCATGGTGGAAGGGGAAGCAAACACGTCCTTCACATGGCAGCAGGAGAGAGAAGTGCAGAATGAAGAGGGAAAAGGCCCCCTATAAAACCATCAGATCTCAGGAGAACTCACTCACTATCACGAGAACAGCATGTGGGAACCACTCCCATGATGTAATCACGTCCCACAGGTCCCTCCCCCAACACATGGGGATTACAATTCAAAATGACATTTGAGTGCGGACACAGAGCCAGACCATGTTACAGAGCCAGAAGAGCTGAGTAGTGGGCGCTTAGTAAATGTTCATTAAACCAAATCCCTGCACAAGGATGGCTTCATAAAGGTGCCACCTGTGCAGTGGCAAAAGCCCCACACTCAGAGGGGACCTGAACTTGGTTTAATGCTCTGTTGTCACTGCCTTGAAATTCTTAACAATTTTTGAATGACAGACTCCACATTTTCAGTTCGCATTGGGTCCTGCAAATTATATACCTGGTCCTGCCCCTGAAACAAAGATATGGTTTGTTCATGTAGGGGCTCCCTCAACCCCTCCCTGCCTGTCTCACTCCAAGATGCCCTAAGTGTAGGGGAACACAGAGCTAGGAGAAGGCGGTATCTGATGATGATCTTGGAGGTCCCACCTGATCATGGCTGGCGATGCATGTGTGTGGGTGGGAGAATTTGGCTGCTCTCTCTTGGCAGCCTCCATCCCATGCACAAAGCCTGCACTTTGCCTGTCTTTCTCCCTATGTCCCCCTACCTGACTCTCAGACCAGGAGTGTGGATTGGGGGGCCACTGGGCCCAGTGCTCCTGGTCCCAGCTGTAGTTCCCTGTTGATTGGGGTGATTTGGCTCCTCTGACTACTCCTACCCCATCCCCACTAGGACAAGAGGAATTGGTGAAGGGGACAGGGTAGGAGGCTTAATTAGCAGCCAGGGCTAGGCAGCAGGCAGTGGGGCAAAGATCAGGCTGACTTTTCCTGCTACAGATCTGCTCTCTGCTCATGGACTGGCTTAGACTGTGGCTTGGCTATTTTAGGAATATTCTTAACCCTTCCTGAGTTACTGCCGTCATCAGACTTCTCTCCCAGGGCACAGAGCAGCAGACTGTTCCCCTCCCTGTCCCCTCCTCCCCAGTCCCTGCGTTCCTCCCTGGCAGCTGAGAAGGTCAGAGTTTTCTCAGGGGTGGGGCAAGTTGACTTCTGCCAAGGAAAACTCCCGGGTCCCTGAGCTCCCTTCTTTGTCCTGCCCTGTGCCTTCTTCTTCACTTCATCATAGCTCTGGACTCAGCAAAGTGGCAGAATGGGCATGACCTCAGCCCTTCTTCTCATCTTATAAAATTGGAACCTCCCAGCCTGACCAACATGGTGAAATCCCATCTCTACTAAAAATACAAAAATTAGCCTGGCATGGTGGTGTGTGCCTGTAATCCCAGCTACCCGGGAGACTGAGGCAGGAGAATTGCTTGAACCCGGGAGTCAGAGGTTGCACTAAGCCAAGATAGCGCCATTGCACTCTAGCCTAGGTGACAGAGCGAGACTCTGTCTCAAAAACTAAACAAACAAAAAATTGGAACCTCTCATCTGAGGGAAAACAGCTGACCTGCATCCCAAAAGTAAGATGGGAAGATGCAGTCCTGGCTTCCAACCTCTGACAGAGGAGCCCCTGCCTGCCTGGCTTTGATGCCCTATTAGGGGCAAGTTTCCAGAAGCGTGTCCCATACAGCGGCCAGAGCCCCTCAATGTCCTGGGGGTCCCTCTGCCTGGTTTTTCCTCCACTCCTGTGGAGATGGGGTTTCACCATATTGCCCAAGCTGGTCTTCAATTCTTGAGCTCAAGTGATCCGCCCACTTCAGGCTTCCCAAAGTGCTGGGATTATAGGCATGAGTCACTGTGCCCAGCTATATTTCTGCATTTATTAGTACAAAAATTAAAAATCCTGAGTTTATATTGATACCTCAGATTCCAATACAACACCACATGGGGTACTGGAAGAGGGTTCCCTGGTTTTTATTTTAATTTCTTTATCCAATAGTGACAAACCCAGTTCTTATTATTTATGATACACTTACTTATGCATTCAATTCTACTATATAAAGTTGTCTCAGAATTGCTTACCCACAATCCTATGAGAAAGTATACATTTACTGACTAGATTACAGAATGTATGGAGAGTGTTTGCTGCATTTAACCCTACAGAATCCAGTCAACATACTGATTTTCAAGGTTACTTGAATTTTTTCTTTTGAGTGTGGTTATTTTCATTTGTAGTAGAGTTAGGTTCACTTTTTAGTGTTTGTATTCCATTTTGGGTACTTCCCTCCCCTATATTCTGGTTGGTTTTAATTGCTTTGTCTATATTTTGAGTATAAGAACATTACTATGGTTCTGAGAACCACAAAAAAAGATATATTCAGATAAGTGTCACTCTCTTCTTATCCCTGTTAGCCTGTTCCCATTCGCTCCCTCTTTCCACCCCTTTGCCACCTGCCCCCTATAGGTAACCAATCCCCCAATCCCTTTATTTCCTAGTTTATCCTTCTTGCACTTTTTTTTTTTAAGGCAGAGTCTTGCTCTGTCACCTAGGCTGCAGTGCAGTGACACAATCTTGACTCACTGCAACCTCTCCCTCCTAGGTTCAAGCGATTCTCATGCCTTAGCCTCCTGAGTAGCTGGGATTATAGGCACGTGCCACCACACCTGGCTTATTTTTGTATTTTTAGTAGAGACAGTATTTTGTTATGTTGGCCAGGCTGGTCTGAAACTCCTGGCCTCAAGTGACCCGCCCACCTCAGCAAGTGCTAGGATTACAGGCATTAGCCACTGTGACTGGCCTTCCTGCACTTTCTACAAATAAACAGAGACATTGTATTTTCTTTAATCCTTTTTTTTTTTCTTTGGAGATGGATTCTCACTCTGTCACCCAGGCTGGAGTGCAGTGGCACGGTCTCAGCTCACTGCAACCTCCGCCTCCTGGGTTCAAGCGATTCTCCTGCCTCAGCCTCCCAAGTAGCTGGGACAACAGGTGTGTGCCATCACGCCCGGCTAATTTTTGTATTTTTAGTAGAGATGGAGTTTCACCATGTTGACCAGGCTGGTCTCCAACTCCTGACTTCGTGATCTGCCTGCCTCGGCCTCCGAAAGTGCTGGGATTACAGGCATAAGCCGCTGTGCCCGGCCCATCCTCTCTTTCTTACAGAAAGACAGCATACCATAGATATATACTTCTCCCCTTCCCTTTTTTCTAGTTAAGAGTAAAAACATACTATTTTTAAATATGGAAAAAGAATAGTCAACATTCCAACATGAATTTTAGGAAGAAAAGAAGACACTTAATAAACAACAGCTGTTATGAAGGAAGACTGTAAAGCAGTTGCCAGAACTCTGAGAGGAGATGGCCAGACAGCAAGAGCAGGCAGAAGAGAAATATATCTCAGAAATGAATAGAAGAAAAAAGACTAAACAAACCATGGCAGATAAGAAGCACAAGAAGGTAGATACCACCGTAGATGCCTATAGAACAGAAATGGAAAAAGTAAAGAAAAAAAGGAATGAAAAAGATACACAGTATTTGGGAGACAACAGTAGATATGGAAAGTAGGAAGAAAAGAACTTCATACTCACACTTGGAATTCCCAAAGAAGAAAGCTGAGCAATGGAACAGAGCAAATATTTTAAAATACAATTATGCAGGAGCTGGGCACAGTGGTGCATGCCTATAGTCCTAGCTACTCCAGAGGTTGAGGCAGGAGGATCACTTGAGCCCAGGAGTTCGAGGCCATAGTGTGCTATGTTCACACCTGTGAACAGCCACTGCACTCCTGCCTGGGCAACACAGGGAGACCTCATCTCTAAAAAAAAAAAAAAGACAAAAGATAAGTGTTGGTGAGAATGTGGAGAAAAGGGAACCCTTGTACACTATTAGTGGGAATGCAAATTGATATAGCCATTATGAAAAACACCATGGAAGGCCAGGCGTGGTGGCTCACATCTGTAATCTCAGCACTTTGGGAGGCCGAGACGGGCAGATCACGAGGTCAGGAGTTCAAGACCAGTCTGGCCAACATAGTGAAACCCCATCTCTACTAAAAAAAAAAAAAAAAATTAGCGGGTGTGGTGGTGTGTGCCTGTCATCCCGGCTACTCGGGAGGCTGAGGCAGGAGAATTGCGTGAACCCAGGAGGCAGAGGTTGCAGTGGGCTGAGATCGTGCCATTGCACTCCAGCCTGGGCAACAGTGCAAGACCTGGTCTAAAAAAAGAAAGAAGGAAAGAAAGAAAGAAAAACACTATGGGGATTCCTCAAAAAATTAAATATAGAGCTAACTTATGATCCAACAATCTGTCTTCTGGGTATATATGTATATGTATACATACACCACACATACACAGGTACATACACACACACACACACACACACATATATATACACACACACATATATATACACACACATATATATACACACACATATATACACACACACACACATACATATATACTTTTTTTTTTTTTTTGAGATAGGATCTCACTCTGCCACTCAGGCTGGAGTGCAGTAGCGCAATCATGGCTCACTGCAGCCTTCAACTCCTGGGCTCAAGGGATCCTCCCACTTCAGCCTTCTTAAGTAGCTGGGACTACAGGCGTGCACCACCACACCTGGATACTTTTCCTATTTTTTGTAGAGATGGGGTATCACTGTCACCCAGTCTGATCTAAAACTCCCGAGCTCAAGCTATCCTCCCACCTCAGCCTCCCAAAGTGCTGGGATTACAGGCCTGAGCTACCACGCCCAGCCTTGAATTAGTATTCAAAGGGCAAACTGCACACCAGGCAACAATGAACCAGAGCCATAATCATTGAGACAAACTCTAGAAAAATTATTGTACTTTAAACTTAAAGAAAGAAAACAAGCCAGAAATATCATGTTGCTTATTAGAAATTCCTGCAGGAGTCTGGACACAGTGGCTCACACCCGTAATCCCAGTGCTGTGGGGAGGCTGAGGTGGGAGGATCACTTGAGCTCAGGAGTTTGACATCAGCCTGGACAACATAGTGAGACTCCACCTCTACAAAAAAAAATTTGTTTTAATTAGCTGAGCATGGTGGCACACACCTGTAATCCCAGCTACTTGGGAGGCTGAGGTAGGAGGATTGCTTGAGGCCAGGAGTTTGAGGCTGCAGGGAGCCATGATCAGGCCACTGCACTCCAATCTGGGTGACAGAGCCAGACCCTCCCTGTCTCTACAAAAAAAAATTCCAGTAGGGAGCTGGTGCAGCGGCTCACACCTGTAATCCCAGCCCTTTGTTAGGCCAAGGTGGGAGGACTGCTTGAGGCCAAGAGTTTGAGACCAGCCTGGGGAACATAGTGAGACCCCCATCTCAAAATAAATAATAAATTAAAATTAAAAATAAAAAAAGAAATTTCAGTGTGCATCAGACATGTAGGGTCTGCTCAACCTTCTGTGCCAGAAGGCAGTTGCAGCCACACCTAGAAGACACTGAAGCTGAAGAGGGAGCCACAAACCTCAAACCCAGCCAGGGATAAAGTCTAAAGGCTACAGACTAACAATACCAACCAAACATTTAAAAATCAGAATACTGTTCACATAAGCCCTTCTTTTTATAAAATTTTTATTTTAACTTTTTTACCGTTTTAAAAATAGAAAATGTCATACACAAAAATAGAATATAATGGGCCGGGCACGGTGGCTCCCGACTGTAATCCCAGCACTTCAGGAGGCTGAGGTGGGAGGATCACCTGAGGTCAGGAGTTCGAGACCAGTCTGGCCAACATAGTGAAACCCTGTCTGTACTAAAAATACAAAAATTAGCCAGGCATGGTGGCACATGCCTGCAATCCCAGCTACAGGCATGAGCTGAGACAGGAGGCTGAGACAGGAGAATCGCCTGAACCCAGGAGACGGAGGCTGCAGTGAGCCGACATCATGCCAGTGCACTCCAGCCTGGGCAACAGAGGAAGACTCTGTCTCAAAAAAATAAATAAATAAATAAATAAATATATATATATATATAAATAAAATGAACCCTCATGGACCCATTACCCAGTTATAGAAATTATTAACTCAGATATCAGATGTCTTATCTCTGTAAACATTTATCATCTTTAACTATTTCATTCTTGAGAAGACTCTGGGCTGGGTGCGGTGGCTCACACCTGTACTTCCAGCACTTTGGGAGGCCAAGGCTGATGGATCACCTAAGATCAGGTATTTGAGACCAGCCTGGCCAAAATGGTGAAACCCCATCTCTACTAAAAATACAAAAATTAGCCAGGCGTGGTGGCAGGCACCTGTAATCCCAGCTATTCCGGAAGCTGAGGCAGAAGAACTGCTTGAACCTGGGAGGTGGAGGTTGCAGTGAGCGGACACTGTGCCACTGCACTCCTGCCTGGGTAACAGGAGTGATACTCTGTCTCAAAAAAAAAAGAGAGAGAGAGAGAGAGAGAGAAGACTCTGCAGGACTAATTCTAACCAACCAAGAGATAGCAGAAAATATTCAGCAGAAGGAATGGCAAACAGCTTTTAATATCTTCAATTGCAGATCCAAGACAAAAACAAAGGTGTGGTTCAGGGCTGAGGAATGGAATGCAACTCTACGTGTTTTCACAATGTAGAAATGGGACAAGTAACATTTTTTAAAAAGGCGGCGGAGGGAGAGAAGGGGAGAGGAGGTGAAAGTGGAAGAATCTGCACCCTGCCTCATGTGTAGTCTGATGGGGGTCAAAGCTGAGAACTCCAGCGGTAGACGTTTGGGAGATTACATACAAAGAAGCTCATCCTACGGACTGAAAATGGGGATGAAGAAGAAGAGGGAGGAAGGAACGCCATCCAGAGAAAATGGTTTAAGGGAACACCTCCACCTGAAAATGCAGTCATTTGTAAGTGGAACCACAATGTAATGTTAGTGACTGTGTGTTTGGCTAGATGGGGAACTGGAATTTGGAGAATTAGGAATTATGTGTGGCATTGCTAATGGAAGAATTGATCTCTGGAGGACTGACTGACACCCAATAGGTGTAGTGTGGCCACAATCCTTCCTCCTCAGCCAGTCTGGGCTGTACTTGCTCCATGAACCTGGTGGAGACAGGCCTGGGCAGTATAAGCTCCCAAGGGCTCCTCTGGTGAAGCTGTCCTCACAGGGTTAACAAGCATTCTACACAGAAATATAGTTATAATTAAGCATTAACAGTTATAATTAAAAATTAACAGTTATAATTAAGCATTAATGAGGCTGTGCTTTAACTAAATTCCTTCTATAGAACTTCCCGTGGCACTGTATACTGACCATCTGCATCCCCACTGTTCCCACAGTTCGGCTTTCTGATGTTAGAATCATAGGCTTTTGTTTAGGAATTCCTTAAAACGTTTTTTTCGTTTGTTTTTTCAGTTTTTTTTTTTCCGAGACAGAGTCTCACTCTGTCGCCCAGGCTGGAGTGCAGCGGCACCATCTTGGCTCAGCAACCTCCACCTCCCAGGTTCAAGCAATTCTCCTGCCTCAGCCTCCCAAGTAACTGGGATTACAGGCGCACGCCACCAAACCCGACTAATTTTTGTATTTTTAGTAGAGACAGGGTTTCACTATGTGGCCAGGCTGGTCTCGAACTCCTAACGTCAGATGATCCGCCCACCTTGGCCTTCAGAGTACTGGGAAAACAGGAATGAGCCACCGCATCCAGCCTAAAATGTTTTTCAGATTCCAAATTCCAGTGAAACAAGTGACCCCAACCAGTTTGAACAGCCCAGAAGAACATAATCAGCATGAGAATACAGTTTTTTCATCTCCCTGGCCCCATGACTTCACTCCGCACTCTTCAACAAATCAACAATCTCCACACTTTGGCCTGCTCTAAAACTCTTAAGAACCCTAACCCCAAACTTCTCGGAGAGAGATTTGAGGTTTTCTCCCATCTTGTCTGGCAGCCCTGCGACTAAACCTCTTTCTTCTGCTGCAACCCGGTGTTTCGGGTGTATGGACTTGCCCTGCCATCAGGCAAGGGACCTATTACAGAGACACTGGCTCTGTGCCCTCTGTGTCCCAGACATGGTTCAAAAGGCAAGTCCCACCTGGCCCTGCCCTCCAGGGCTCCTAGTGTCGGGGGAGCAGAGGCACACAGGAACAGGCAATTGCACAGCGCCACCGGAGCACCAGCTCCATGGGGCTGGGGCAATGTGGAAGGGGCTGCATTGCAGAGATGGTTCCATGGTAAACCTGAAAATGAGAACTCACTGTCATCCATCAGGAGAACAAAAGGATGGTCCTCCATGCAATCATTTAGCCAGTGCTGCCTGAGCACCGCAGAAGACACAGAGCATGCACTAAAAAGGGACTGGTTACAGCCCCATGAACCACCACTATGGAGAAGCACACATGAAGGCTCATTGTGACTCTAAAAAGGAGGTACAGGGGGTGTGAGAATGTGTCACCAGGGGCCTGATGCATATTGTGTGTGTGTGTGTGTGTGTGTGTGTGTGTCGGCACACCCAAGGCCGCTGAGACCTGACGTTTGGAAGAGCAATAGGCAAGGGTGATTTATGGAGAGTATGCCAGGCAGAAAATGCCGCAGGTGTGAAGATACCGAGGCAGCAGGAGCATGATGGGAAGGTCAAGGTGGCTGAGATGGAAGGGAGGGGGTGTTGTGGGAACAGGCTGGAGGTCTGGGAGGCTCTGCCCTCATCAGCAGGTGGGCTTTTCCTTAGACTTGTTCCTCAGACTTGTTCCTCCTGTGGTTCCAAGTGGCTGGTTCTAGGGTTCCTTTCCAGCCACAAGGTGTCCAGAGGAAGATGAAGGGCGGCTTTTTTTTTTTTTTCTGAGACAGGGTCTCACTCTGTTGCCCAGACTGAGTGCAGCGGTCCTCGACCTCCCGGTCTCAAGTCATTCTCCCGCCTCAGCCTCCCAAAGTGCTGGGATTACAGGCTGAGCCACCATGCCCCGCCTTCAAGACAAGAAAAGCCTTTTCTAGAAGACTCCTGGCCTCAGGCCTGATCTCTCTCCTTGGCCGCACCTGGGTCGCACTTAAGGCGATCACTCACAAGGAGAACAAGTGAAAAGTCCCTTGGGATTCATCCCTGAGTCATAGGGGAATGATGCACACCAGAAGGATGCTGGGCTCTGCCAGTCCAGCCCCACCAGCCTCCTGGAGTGGCCCTGAGGCCGGCTCTCCAGACCCTAGGACCTGCTCCTGGAGGCAGGGGCTCCTGGAAGCGCCCCTGACACTGCTCCGGGTGTCTCTTCAAGGACTTTCCCACATTCTACAAAGAAACCTTTTGGGGACAGTCAGCAACATGTAACCGATAGTGGAACCAGGGCAGCCCTGGGTTAAGGGTGGTAGACACGTGCCCCGCGAGGGAGATCTCAGACTGGAGAAGGGAACGGCCTCCTAGGCAGACCTGTACTGCAGCATCTGGACTGGCAGCCAGGTTGGGGACTTCGTCCCCTGCTGGGAGGCCGGGGAAGGCAGGGAGCGCGCCTTGAGTCCGCTGACTAAATCGCCTCAGAACTGGGAAGCACCGCGTAGTCGGTACCTTTCAACAGAAACGCAGAGGCCACTGGCGCGCAGGAGGAGGCGACTGCAGGTGGAGGTAGTACCGGGGTAAAGACATGGAGCGGGTGGACGGGAACCGCTAGGGGCCCGCTGGGGCGTGAGGGGCGCGGGGAGGAAAGGGCCGCAGCAGCCCACGCCCCGCGCCAGGGCCAGGCCTCATCCGGCGCTCAACCAGTGCCACGTTGAGTCACCTACTGGCAAGGCATACACCGTACCGGGGCCACACGCGTGGACACGTGCCGGGGGGGTGCTGGGAACACCAGTCCATCCGGAACCCACTAGACAAAACCTTCCAGGGCCGGAGGTTACCGGTTTGTCCCGAAAGGAAGTGGTGTGGAAGGGAGGGGTCTCCCGCACGCGAGCGCGCACGTGCATGCCCCCCCCACAACCGTGCTTCGTTCTCACGTGCACGGCCCCGTGCCCCGAAGCCCCTCCCCGGGGAGTGGCGGGGCGGGACCCCGCCGGGCGGCAGCGCCCCACTCAACAAAGCTTCCCGCGGGCCCTGCCCCATGACTCACCGCTGGGTGGGGCGGGCACGCAGGCAACCCGCGGGCCGAGACGGGGTAGTGAGGGCCGGAAGCCCGGCTCCCGACTCCGCTTCGTCCCCACAACCTCCGGCCGCCTGAAGTCCTGAGGGGCCGTGGCCCTGGGTCGTCTCCCCTGTTCCCAGCCTCCAGTCGCAGCTGGCGGAGAGAAGTTCCCGAGGCCCCCCCGACTTGCAAGGTCCCTTGCCCCGCCCAGAGCTGAGCCTTCCGAGGATCTGAGGACCGAGTCCAGCCCAGCTCCCAGGAGGGGCCGGGATCCTGGGGCAGGGAATAAGGGGCAGGGGCTGGCTCTAAAGTCGGGCGGGAGAGGGGCACTAACCGAGATGGGGGCTGAGCCTCCGGTCTGGGAGCTTCGGGAGGCGCGTGGCGGGATGGAAAACATTCCTGAGACCGTTGGATTGGATTTCCGAATTTGGGAGGCTAGGACTCCGGCTACGGTGGCTCTGCTCTTGGGATGAGAGGACTGGGCCCAGCTTGCGAGGAATCATGAAGTGGACACAGGGTGGGAACGTGAATTTTAATGAGGGGGCAGACCGAGGAGGTGGTGGCTGCCCGGAGATCAGGGCCAGGCTGTGCTAGATGGCGCCTGGAAGGGGGGTCACCCAAGTCTCCCTGCTGTCATTTCAGGAGGCCGACCCAAGTCTCCCTGCTGTCATTTCAGGAGGCCGAATTTTTTCCCAATCCCAGAGAAGGTGTCAGAGGCCTGGTTAGCAGTCTTGTCGATGGTTTCCTGGGTGGTCTTGGCCAGCTGGTCCATGGCTGGGGAAGGGCGGGAGAGAGGGCAGGTCAGGCAGGGCCCGGGAACCACAGTGCCTGTAGGCTTAGCCTGGCCTGGGTCTCCCGGGGGACCTGCTTGGGGCATTGTGGACAGAGGGCTCTGCAGAGGAGAGGATGTGCCTGGGCCCCAGCCGGGATGGGGCGGGGAGTGGGAGGTGTGCTGGGGTTGCCCGCCTCCCTCCAGCCCCACCAGACCTTTCTGCCCCGCCTCTGTGGCCTGGTCCACCACTTGCTGAGCTGCCGCTCCGGCCGCTGACACTGGAACAGAGAGATGTGGCTTTTAGCCCCTGTTGAGGCACCACCGACTACAGGTGCCCCACCATTGCCATGCCTCTGTGTCCTCCAGAGTATTCGGTGGTACAGGTCCAAGGGATGGATGCCATGGAGATAAAGTCCCTGGCCCAGGGCCCCCCAGCCCGAGGGGCAGGAGACCTTTCCATGCCTCTGGGATGTTTTTGTTTATTTCTAACTCTGAGCTCCTTCTCTGTGGGGGAGGAGCTTCCCTTTCCATCTCCAGGGCTACTGAGAAAATGTTGGACAGAGGAAGGAAGGCAGGGCAGGGCCAGGCTGCAGCTAGCATCTGGACTGTTGGCTAATGCTGGTGATGGCGCAGAAGACCCTTGCCCCCTTTTACAGCTTCTCCCCTAGAAGCCTGGCCCAGATGCCTGAATTCCCACCTTTCATGCACTTAGCCCTGGGGCTTGCAGTTTTGCCAGGTCCTTACTGCCTCCTCCCTCCTGTGGCCTGCCCGGAGGGGCACACAAGCAAAGCCAGTGCCTCTGTGGACAGGCAGCTTAAGACATTAGGAGACAAATGAAGGAAGGAGGCAAAACTTCCAAGGCCGGACTATCTCCTCTGGACCAGAGTTTCGGCCTGCTGGGAATGGAGTCACCAGCCCCGGGGGGGCTGACAGGTGGCTCCCGCCTACAGAGCTGTAACTCATCCCTGCTGCTGAACAGGAAAGGGCCTGCCTTACCCAGATCCCATCCTCCGGAAAGGGTTAGTCAGGCAAGTGTGCTGAGAGGCCCCTGGGAACCTCGTCTCGATTAACCCATCAGAAAGCAGCCCATCCTTTGCACCCAGCTCTCAGATGGAAAAGTGAAGCCCAGAAGGAAGGGACCTGACACGGAGGCTTCCTTGGTAGCATTTCAGTCTCAAGGGAAGAACTGTGGGCCTCCCCTGGAGCACTGGTGAAGTAAGGGGTTGGTTTGGATATTGTCTCCTGACTGGGATATGGGCAGGACTGACAGGGAGCTGGAGTCCTAACGAAGCCTGGGCTAGGTGCAGGAAGAACCAACCCAGTGGTCTCCTGACATCTCCCACGCCCCCACCGCAGCTGGGTCACCTCCAGAATACGGAGGAGAGAGCTGGAGGTGGAGGAACTAAGGACCTTCTTTGCCAGGTGGGGACTTAAAGGTAAGGCGACGATTACTTTTCGGCGATGGGGGTGGGATGGAAACAAAGCCCTTTGAGGTCTGGGGCAGCCTCTGGTGGCGCGCGCGGGTTTAAGTGGTGGCGGGCCGCGCCCGATCCCTGTCCTGGACCTTCACCCTCTCCTGAGGGCCTGGGCGGGCCGCCCAGCGCCAGCATGGCCTCCTTGGAGGGGCTCCCGCAGTGCCCGCAGCGCAGCTCCGGCTCCTCCGGAGCCTCTGTTCCGCTGCCTCCCTGCGGGCACCATCTGTCTGCTCGCCGGGGTGGGCGTTCTGCCTGCCCCCTGCGTCTCAGTGGAGGACCGAGCCTTCCGAGCCAAGCTGCCGGTCCAGGAACTTGCGGACCGCGCCGACCCGCTGCTTCTGCCTGCGCATCCACGCAGGTGCCCCTGCCTGAGCCCTAGGTCGCGCGCTATCCTCACCGGCTTCCTGGGCGGTCCCCTCCACCTGTTGCTTCAGGTCCTGCAAGCCCTTGCTTGCCATGGCTTCGGGGTATCTGTGGAGTCGTCAAGAGCAGCTGGAGCGACGTTGGATCCTGCCCAGAGTGGCGATGCCAAGCGCCAGCTCCGGTTTTTAAGGCGCCCCAGGGCTGGCCTGCCCCGCGTAGGGGAGAGGGCGCGGGGCGGTTCCCGTCATACAGGCTCCGGGGAGTGGCCGGGCCCTGCTCCAGAGTCCGCAGGGCAGGGAGCACATCCTGGCCTAAGACGGGCCGCGGTGGGAAAGGGGCAGACCGAACCAGGGACCGAAGAGGTGCCAGGACAGGGGTCCAGAGAGGAGCTGGAGGCAGGAGAAGGGCGCACACCACCTCCCAGCTCATCAGCCCCAGCCCTCCCTTTCTGATCCTGGGCGTGAGCGCTGGGTCAGCTCCAGGGCAGGAGCTCAGGGCTGGTGTTGACCTTAATGACAGCAGTGGTCTTTTACTGAGCATTTGTCTTGTGCCAGGTGCTGCCTAACGCTCTGCAGTCTCTTGTATAATCTTTACAACCACCTCCTGAAGTGGGTATTTTTGTTGATAGCATCAGTGTATAGGAGGAAACTGAGGCAGTGAGGTCGGTCTCACCCAAACGCATGTGGCAGGGACTTGGATCCTCGAATCTGCCTAGGTGCCTGTAAACCCTAGGGCTCTGGCATCATCGGAGCCCCCAGCCCCAAACAGCTGCAGGGGCACTGCTGACTGGCTCTCTGCCTGTAGCCAGAGACCCAGTGGATGCAGCCGGAGAGGGCCTGGTAAATCTTTCCCCTGAGAGGGCGAGATACAGGTGTGTGCACTTGCAGACCATGCAACCCCAAGGGGGAGAGGGCAGTGTGCCTGTGCAGCCCAGGCAAGGAGATTGCCGTCTGTCACCGAAGCCTTAGGAAGTTGGGCAGGAAGCATGGCTCAGGGAGGGCAGGAATAAGCTTGGGCCTCTCAGGTCACCTTTCCTGAGATGGGGCAGGCAAGGCGCTAGAGAGTATGACTTGTGGCTGTTAGGAGGGGACTTAGGGACCTGGGCCTGAGTGGAGAAGATCATCCTTGGGTGCAGCAAAACAGCTTGCAAGATACATTCCCCTGGCACACAAGGGGTGTAGGTCAGGCCCCACCCAGCTGGGTATACTCCCACTCCAGAGTAGGCCTTCAGGACCTGGAGGCCAGTGCACACCCACCCTGCCTTTCTGGGTCTCTCTACCGCTTCCTGTCCGGGGCTGTTTCTTGCACCTCTGCTGGTGTCTCCCCTATTCTGGAGCGCTGGGAAGCCCCTGCCACACAGGCTTGGTCTGCTGGCACATACCCTGCTTCTAGTGCTGCGGGGTCAGCCCCTAGAGGGAGTTGTTTGGAAGTGCACCTGTACACACACACACACACACACACACACACACACACACACACACACACACACGGTATGGATTAATGGAGATGAGGTCAACCCTGGGCAAAGGGAAGAGGCAGGTGATGAGATTAGGTGGAGGAAGGGGGAGGGAGCAGGTCTCAGGCAAAACAAAGCGGCAGCAACAGTCCTCCCAGCCCCCCGCCCCTCCTCTCCCAGAGCGAGGCCTTGCCCTGGGAGCGGCCATATGGATGCCTTGGGGACTCTGGGGAGCCCATCTCAGCCATGCCCTGCCTGGCTGGCCACAGCCCTGCCAGCCCTCCTGAAATCCCACCGGTAGTGCCCAATAGCCAGGCAGGCCTTCGAGTGTTCCAGTTTATCACAGGCTGGTGGTGCCACTGGGCTCCAGGCCCCATGGGCAATGAGCTGTGAGCTGGACAGGAAGGGAGCAGCCTCTGTGGGAAGAGACAGCCAGCCCCCAGCAGATGGTGGTAGAGAGAGCTCCACGTGGCCCTAGCGGCAGGCACTACAGTCAAACCTCTTGGGTTCAGATATTCTTAGAGCAAGCCCCTCACTTCTCTGAGCCTCAACATCCCCATCACATCACAGCGTCTCCCCAAAGTGTGTGTGTGAAGATTAAATTGGCTGAAGGGTGCCCAGGACTCAGCAGTGGACCTTGTGAGAGCGTGCAGGGCACCAGGGCTTCTCAGACAAGGAGAGGCAGAAGGAGGGAGCGCATTACCGCATTACCGTTTCCCCCACCCCCGCCCCAGTTTGCTGTGGTGTCACTTTTTTTTTTCCCTTTTTTTGTTTTTGGAGACAGAGTTTTGCTCTTGTTGCCCAGGCTGGAGTGCAATGGCGGGATCTTGGCTCACTGCAACCTCTGCCTTCCAGGTTCAAGCAGTTCTGCCTCAGCTTCCTGAGTAGCTGAGATTACAGGCATGAGCCACCACCCCCAGCTAATTTGTGATTTCGCTTTCTGCAGTTTCAGTTACTCATTGTTGGGGCTCAGAAACCAATACCCCGAAATATAGTGGTGTGACATTCTGAACTGAAGAAGCCTTAAGGTCTCTCCGACCAGACTCCCACAGGCCCCCCAACCCTTTGTCTCTTCCAAAGCATACAGTGAAGTTGTTCTCTGAAGTTCCTCATCTGCCTTAAGTCTGGACCCACCAAAGAAGAAAACAATGACCACTGGTCCCTTCCCGGAGTTTTCTCTGACTGAACTGCTGTCACAGGAAGAAAGACTGAAGCCTGCTCACATACCTGGACAGATTTTGCAAACCGTTGTCTGCTCTGTGAGCCCAACAGACTTTGTCCCAGGCCACTGTATGTTCTTCAAGCCCACTGAATTCCCCTGAAAATCATTTACTAGCCCCCTGAAATTACCCACACTTCCCCATTGCTCATCTGTACCCCATTTCGTGGTGGGGCAGTCACTCTGATTTCCCCTTGCATGCTAATGAATGTGTATTCCATTTCTATTCTGCTTTCATGAGCTGACTTTTCAGTGAACCTTCAGAGGGTAAAGGGGAAGTTTTCCCTTGGCCCCTGCACCGCAATTGGTAAGGTCCAAAATGTTAAATGGAAAATTCCAGAAATAGCTGGTCGTGATGGCTCCTGCCTGTAATCCCAGCACTTTGGGAGGCCGAGGTAGGTGGATAGCTTGAAGTCAGGAGTTCGAGACCAGCCTGGCCAACATGGTGAAACCCTGTCTGTACTAAAAGTACCAAAATTAGCTGGGCGTGGTGGCGCACGCCTGTAGTCCCTGCTACTTGGGAGGCTGAGGCAGGAGAATCACTTGAACCTGGGAGGCAGAGGTTGCAGTGAGCAGAGATCGCACCACCACTCCAGCCTGGATGACAGAGTAAGACTCCGTCTCAAAAAAAAAAAAAAAAGAAAATTCTAGAAATAAACAATTCATGTTTTAAATAACTTTCATTACAGTATATTGTTATAATTGTTCCGTTTTCTTACTGGTTATTGTTAGTCTATTACTGTGCCTAATGTATAAACTTCATCATAGGGAGGCACATGTGTACGTGTAGGAAGATACATATGTAGGCTTTGGTACTATCTGGGGTTGCAGGCAGCTGGAAACATCTTGAGTGTATCCTGGTGGATAAGGGGAGTCAACCGTGCTCCTGCAGGGAGGTCAGAAGCAGCCTCACAGGGTGCAGAGCACATGAGGTTTCAAAGGCAAAGAGCACTGCCAGTGCCCATGGCTGGGAAGGGGCTTTCTGGTGATGTTTGTCATTTGAGTCCAGGAACAAGCCCTGAGTGTATGTGAGAGGGGGTTGTAGGGGGGCTGTGGTAGGGGCAGCAGGGACCCCTCTGGGCTCCTCCAGCAGAGGCAGAGGGCCCTGAAACCTGGGGCAGGTTGTCGCTGGGAGCCGGGCATAGGTGCCCTCTCCCTCACCCCCATCACCTGACCAGCCTTGCTCCTCCTTGCTTTCTCTCACAGCCCAGGGGACTCTCGGGCACACCCAGGCCCCAGGTGGCCTCCTCCTGGGTTCATACAGGCCTGCTTAATGTGTACATGTCTGGGCTGGGGAGCAGGAACAGCCCTGACTGGCCTGAGCTGCTTCCAGACCCTTCATGCCTGCCCATGGCAGTGCTTGGGGATGTGGAGACCAGCAGCCCCCTGCTCCGTTCTGCCTCCTCAGTGGATGCCCATGGCCAGACAACAGATACAGCCTGGCTCCGCTGTGTCTGACTGGGCTCCCAGCCTCCTGGGCTGCCCTTGAATCCACTGCAGAGGCTGGATGGGGAGGCGGTGTGGACAGGGCAGTGTCTGAAGTCACATGTGGACGGACTCAAGCTCTGGCTCCAACACCCAGGCCTGAAGGCCTGGGGCAAGGCACTGAGATGCTTTGAGCCCAAACCATCTGAGTATCAAAGGGGAAGCCAGGATCCCCAGGGAACCCTGGTCTGAACAAGCCCGCCCGGCATGCAAGGCTTTAAAACAACCCAGGACACGCTGGCCAGTGGCCTACATGATGGGTGGTTTGCGTCGTGCCCGGCAGGCTTGTTCAGAGTGGGCTGGGCAAACAGCCTTTCATGTAGGCCACTGGCCAGCAAGCCCTGGGTTGTTTTGAAACTTTGGGTTGGGGGCAATCCACTGTAAGCACCTTGGGGTCCATGCAGCCATAGCAGGGCTGGGGAGCCACCTGGGCTTCTGCCCAGTCCTGTGCGTCTCAGCAAAACCTGGATCTACAGCTCCAACCTGAGAGGTTTATTCTGAGGATTAAATAAGGTGAAGTGCTCAGAACAGTGCCCAGTCAACGCCTGTGAGGACCTCAGCAGCTGTTGCTTTTTACTATTTTTCTGTCAAGGTGCGGCTTCGTGCGTCTCTGCTGTTGTGTTTTTGGTGGCAACTGGCAGGCTTCTGGGTGCAGGAGGGGTGCAAGGGGTACCCAGCTCCAGGTCCAGCGGGGAGCATGAGACTGGCTGGGGCCAGGTGGGAGGCGCCGCAGGGTCCACCTTCTGTCTCTCCTGTGGGATGCCCTTCATCCTCACTAGGTTTAGACTTCTCCATCTTTGAAAGTCACCATCTGCCCCAGGGAGGATGTTAGGTGGCCCTGTTCCTCTTGCGACACTGGAGCCCAGAACTCACATGGAGGGAAGACCCAGGAGCCTATCTTCACCTCCTGCTGACAGTGGGTTCCTCAGGGACTCAGAGCAGGCAGGCGGGGGCTACCTTGAGGCTGAGCTAAGCTATCCCCGTGGATGGGACTGTGAGTCCTGTCGAATGTCTTGGGGAGCCGAAGGCAGTGCTGCCTCCTCCATGTTAAAGGCAATGGGTGGGTTGGGGGTGTTCCTGAAGGCTCACGCAGGTCCCATGAATGCCCTGTGTGTGTCCCTATAGGATACCTGGTCCTATCAACAGGCTGAACCCGTTCCTGTTCCTGGGAGGACCTGGGGACCCCTCCTCAAGCTACACAGCACCCAGAGGAAGCATGGCAGGAGTGGGCTCAAGTTTTATTTGGAATCATTTAAAAAAAAAATTCACAGCAGCATAAGTGGGGTCAGAAGGACCAGAGGGTGGGTGGGGCCGAGGGAGGGCAGTGAGGTTGGTGCAGCAGCACAGGTGGACAGGCCAAGGGTGGCCAGGGAGACGAGGGCAGGAGCGTGGGCAGCCGCATGTCACTCAAGGCGGGCACTCCTTGTGCTAGGAGGGGATGGTGTCCAAGGCAGAGGAGCGCTCTTCAGGTCATCCACGCTGGCCTGTAGCCCTCTAGTCTCCCCCACTCTGGGCCTGGGAGAGAGAATGACCTGCACACCCAGCTCCAGGCCCCAGCCTTAATGGGCCACCCTGAGTGGGCTGAGAAAAGTTGTCTTCTGTGCCCCATGCCTGAGGGGTCATCCGTGGGGGGACCTCCCACTCAGGTTCAGGGTTAGCCCTGTACACAGTCCCTGTAGGGGCTGTGGAAGGTCAGGAGGCCCCTCTGGGCCCTGGGAGCCCAGGAGGGAAGCAGTGCGTCTGTGGGGGATGGGGTCCCTACCAAGGAACCCCCCATGGTGCACCCCAGGAGCCCAGCTCCTACCTCCTCTGCCACTTCCTCTTTCTCTTTGGATGCCTCACCCTCCTGTTGGGGGGCAGATGGCCTCAAGTCCTCCTGTAGGGGACAAAAGGGGGCATGAGACCATGTGGAGAATGCAGAGACCCCTAGCTGCCCTGCAACCAGGGCCTTGTCTACCCTGGCCTCAAGGAGGAGCAGAGGCCCCTCGTGGCCTTGTTGTACTTGGAGGGGCTGGAGGTATTGGGGGCGTGCAATTCAGACAATACCCGGGGCTCTGATGATGCCGAGGCCTTCCAGGGGCACCAAGTACCCTGGAGCCCAGCTTCACCCCTCAAGCTGGTCCCCAGTCTCTGGGAAGCCCCTAGTTGGGCTTCACTGATGAGGAACCTGGGTGGGGTAGGGTGGAGTGGGGGTTAGAGTGGGCAGAGGCCCCTGAAGCCCCAGGTCTGACCCCACCCTCAGTAGCCCTACAAGGAAGACTGATTGGGGTTCACATAGGGACTCTGAGGCCAGGGAGGCTTGGCATGCAGCTCAGGGCCTTCGAGCTCAAAGTGGTGGGGTGTGTTGGCATCAGATCAGGCTTGCTTCAGGCCCACTTCAGTCCACAGGAGCATGGCTCCCTCTCTTTGCCTCCTGGACAGGCTCTGGGCTCAGGCTGGTCAGGGCCAGCAGAGGTTACACAGTCCTCTCTCACTTCCCATCTTCTATCTCCTGCACTCCATGCCGGCCAGACACTTGCGTGAGATATCATGACAGCTGGGTGTGTAGGACCACACTGGTGATTGCCCTGCACTCTGGCCTCAGCACCTGCCTCTGGCGGGGGACGGGGGGGAGGCGGGGATACTGTCACCTCTGTGTTGCCCCAGGGCCATCCTGCCCCTTGGCGGAGTGGGGCATAAAAGGGCAGTGCTGTGCTGGCGGGAGTCGGCCAGGCTATCCAGGGGCAGGGCAGGTGGCCACCTGCTGAGTCCTGCTGCCCTAAGGCTGATGATGAGGCCAGGGGTATGAGTGGTCAGATAGTCCCTGCTGAGGCCTTTCACAGTTCACTGGGAGATGAGTCGTGACTGGTTTTGGGGTGTCACCAGGAAATGAGTCTCCCTCGAGGTGGCTCCAAGGGCTCACTAGCCCTGCTCCGGGATTCACAAGGAATGCCCGGGCACCCTCACCCCAGGGCCTCTTTTGCTGGGGGTGAGGAGGGAGGAGCCCCCTGGGGCTCTATGTGTTCTGCCTGGGACACATGATGATGATGATGATGATGGTCACCTTCCTCTGCTGGGTGCTCACATAGACCAGGAGAATTGCTTCATGGAGGTCATGGCCCTGCCTCATCACACAGCCCAGGGAGGCCGACACTCTCACCCCCATCTTGCAGATGAGAACACGGAGGCCCAGAGAGGTTCCTTTGCTTCTCAAGGTCATACG